>NC_000024.10:6643635-6944045 GCF_000001405.40 Homo sapiens
TTATATCTACATAATTTTTTTGGAATTCTGCAATTAAAACTTGTCCTTCATCCACATTTACTAATTTATTCAATACTTTATGTATTTCAGTATGGAAAATTGGCTATTTATTTTATACTTGAGATCTAATCCAATACTACTTTCTCTTGTTGCTCTAATTGTTACTATTTTGGCAATCAGGAACTTTTCAATTGGTGTTTGTCTGCTTGACATACCTGCATCCATAGACATTTCATAGACTTTTTAAAGCACTTCTTTACTTTTTGGCACTACTTGATGCTGAAAGCTCATGTTCTATATTTCCTGCCCAAGCCCTAAATTCAGTCATTTCTCCAAGTTTCCCTGTTTTCTTTCTTGAGGAATGTATCAAAAAACAAAATTTAAGTGACATGTGTGCTAATTGCTACTGGAATTTTATTGCCTGTAGGCCTTTGTTGTTGGCAGATTGCTAGGGTCTGAATGTTTATGCCCCTGTGAAATTTCTTTGTTGAAATCTTCACCCCTAAGGTAATGCTATTAGAAGGTGGGAACCTTAGAATAATTAGGTGATGGGGACAGAGCCCTCATGAAGGGGATCAGTGCCCTTATAAAAGAAATCTGAGAGAGACCCTTTGCCACTTCTGCCATGTGGGTTAGAGTGAGAAGAAGGTTATTTACGAGAAAGTAGCCCTTACTAGACGCTGAATCTTCTGGTGCCTTGATCTTAGACTCACCAGCTTTCAGAACTGTAAGAAATAAATTTCTAGTGTTTACAAGCCACCCAGCCTATGGTATTTTGTTATAGCATCTGGAATGGACTAAGACACAGAACAAGATAATGGGTGGATATGCTAAACTTTGTATATACACATGTCCATTTATATTTCCATATGTCTCCATCTGTTATCTATATCAAGCTAAACATGAGTTCATATTGATGTTTCCAATTCCAATTGTTACAAAATGGATCATCACCTTGTTTTTCTGTAATCCTCTATTCAGTGAAAAACCTTGCTCCCATACTATGACATCCATTTATTTAATTGTTCAATTTCATTATATATGTACAGCAATATCCAAATTAATAACATGTACCCCTGTGGACATGATTATGTGAACTAGAGTATAGGGCTTATAAATTAAAAAAATTTATTTTTATTTTGGAAAATGCATATAACAAAATGTGGCATTTTAATGATTTTTAAGGGTAAAATTTAGTGACATTAATTATATTACTAACGTTGTACAGCTATCATTACTATCTACTTTGAAAATACTTTTAAGAACCCAAACAGAAAATCCATACCCACTAAGCAATAACCCTATTGCCCCCTCCTTTCAGCCCTTGGCAATGACCATTGTACTTTTAGTCTGTATGAGTTTGCCTTTTCTGGATATTTCATTTTAGTGAAATCATAGAATATTTGCTCTTTTGTGTGTGGATTATTTCACTTATTTTTAAAGTTTATTCATTTGTAACATGTATTAAAACTTTATTCCTTTTTTTGGTTGAATAATATTCTATTATGTGTATATAACACATTTTGTTTATTCATTCATTTGTTGGTGAATACTTGGGTTATTTCCACCTTCTAGAAATTGTGAGTCATGCTGCAGTGGACATAGGCATACAATTATCTGAGTTTCTACTTTCTATTGTTTTGGATATATAATCAGAATTTTAATTGCTGGTGCATATGGTAATTTTATGTATACTAATTTGAGGAGAATCCATACTGTTTTTCTCAATGGCTACACCATTTTACATTCCCACCAGCAATGCATTATGGGGCAATTTATCCACACCAACAGCAACACTTATTATTTTCTAGGTTTTTTTATCTTTTTATTTTATTAATGTTTATCCTAACAGATATGAAATAATATTTCATTGTGATTTTGATTTACATGCTAATGATTAGTGATGTTGAACAGTATTTCATGTGCTTATGGGCTATCTTGTATCTTTTTTAGATAAATGTCTATTTAAATCCTTTGTTTATTTTTGAGCTGAAATGTTTAGTTTTTGTGGAGTTGTGGGAATTCCTTATATATTCTGAATATTAATCTCTTATTTTATATATATATATGATTTGCAAATATTTTCACCATTTTTCTGGGTTGCCTTTTTACTTAGTTGATAGTTTCCTTTGATGTTCGAAGTTTTAAATATTGATTAAGTCCAATTTATCTTTTTTTGTTGTTGTTTGTGTTTTTTGTGCCATATCCAATATAATTGTCAGATCCAATACCATGAAGTTCTTTTCCTGTATTTTCTTCAAAGAGTTTCATAGTTTTAGCTCCTACATTTGGGTCTCTGACCCATTTTTGTTGTTGTTGTGGTTGTTATTGTTGTCTGTTTTGAGACAGGGTCTCACTCTGTTGCCCAGGCTGAAGTGCACTGGCATCATCTAGGCTCATTGCAACCTCGACTCCTGGGTTCAAGCAATCCTCCCACCTCAGCCTCCCCAGTAGCTGGGACCACAGGGATGTGCCACTGTGCCTGGCTAACTTTTGTAATTTTGTAAAGGTGGGGTTTAGCCATGTGGCCCAAGCTGGTCTTAAACTCCTGGGCTCAAGTGATCTGCTCGCCATGGCCTCCCAAAGTGCTGGGATTACAGGTATGAGCCACCATGTCTGACCTCTTATCCATTTTGAATTAACTTTCATCTATGGCATAGTGTAGGCGTCCAATTTCATTCTTTCAAGTGTGGATATTGTTTTCCTAGCACCATTTGTTAAAATGACTATCCTTTTCCTAATTCAATGATCTTGGTAATCTTGTCAAAACTAATTTGACTGTAAGCCTAAGATTTGTTTCTGGACTTTTTATGTTCTATTTTGTTGGTCTACATGCCTGTCCTTATGCCAGTATCATGTTGTTTTGATTACAGTAAATTTGTAGTAAGTCTTAATATTAGGAAACATGACACCTCTAACTTTGTTCTTGTTAAGAATTGTTTTTTCTATTCTGGGTTCGTTGTGGCTACATATGCATTTTAAGATCAATTTTTTTATTTTGTCAAAAAACATCATTGGCAATTTGATAGGAAGTGGGTAGTATTCACATCTTAGCAACATTAATCCTCCCAATCCATGTAGATGGAATTTTTCCATTTATTTGTTTTCTTTAATTTCTCTCCACCATGTTTTGCAGTTTTCAGTGGACAAGTCTTTTGCTTTCTTGATTAAGTTTATTGTTAAGTATTACATTCTTTTTGATGCTATTGTAAAGGGAATTATTTTCTTAATTTCCTTTTTGGCTTGTTGTTAGTGTAGAGAAACAATACTGATTTTTATATGTTTTGCTCATTTGTAATTAAGTTGTTTAGTTGTATATTATTCAGTTGTAAGTGTTGTATATTTTGAATATAATTTTTTACTTGATATATACTTTGTAAATATTTTCTTCTAATCTATGTGTTCTCCTTTGATTATATTAACAGAGTCTTTCACAGAGAAGACATTTTTAATTTTAGCAATTTATGTCTTTTGTTTAGTAAATTTAGATCTTTTATATTTAAGGTAATTATTGTTGTGTTAGTGTTTTAGTTTGCCTCTTAATTATTTGTTTTATGTTACCTCTGTTTTTCATTTCAATTTTACCTTGTCTTAATTGTCTTTGGCTTGCTTGAATATTTTTGAGGACCCCAACATTATTTTATATAGAACTCCTAAGCAAATCAGTTAGTATATACTTTTATTAGGGGTTGTTCTAGGTATCGAATTATACATGTAACTTATTACAGTCTACTAGCATAAATATTTTATTTCTTCATGCGAAGCGTGAAAACCTTACTTTAAGTTCCTTTTAGTGTCTCACTTTAAATTATCATTTTCATGACAATAGATCATGTTATAATTTTTCAGAAAAAATAAAATTTTTATAACTTATAAGGAAAAAATATTTTTATGCCATTTTTTTTTTGAGACAGAGTCTCTGTCACCTATGCTGAAGTGCAGTGGCATAATCTCATCTCACTGCAACCTCTGCCTCTCAGGTTCAAGCGATTCTCCTGACACAACCTCCTGAGTAGCTGGGATTACAGATGCCTGCAACCTTGCCTGTATGCCAATTTTTTTGCTCTTTCCATTGTTTCCTCCTCCTGCATGTTGCTACAAGAGTACTTTTTTTTTATGATGTCCTGTCTGAAGATTATTCTTTAGCCAGTCTTTAAGGATAGGTGTGCTGGTGACAAACTGTTTTAGTTTTCTTTATATGAGAGTTATTTATTTCCCTTTACTCTGCTTAGTTTTATCACATTTAGATTTCAGAGTTTTAATTATTTTCTCTCAGCATTAAAAAATCAGTTTCAGATAAAAAATCCGTGGTTATTTGAAGTGTTTTTTTCCCCTGTAGTTAAAGTGTAATTTGTCTTTGCTGCTTTCAGTTTATTTTCATCCTAGAGATTTAATCTAATATTTCTTGATGTGTATTTCTGTGAGCTTATATTATTTAGGTTTTGCTAAGCTCTGTGAATCTGTATGGTTTTTTTTTGTTGTTGTTTGTTTGTTTCAAACCTGAGAACTTTCAGCTAAGTATTTCTTCACATGTTTTTTGCAATTCTCCTTTTATCTACTCTCCTTCCAGGATTCTAATTATATGAACGTTAGGTCTTTTGTTATTGTCATACAAGTTGTTTACTGTACTTATTTTTTCCTTAGTCTAATTCCCCTCAATTCTTCAGGTCGATTCTTTTGACCTGTTTCCAAGGTTATTGATTTTATCTTCTGTCATCTCTACTATGTTATTGTGTCCATTCAGGGCACAATTAGCTATTTTTTGTTGTTTTTTAATTTGTTTTAAATTTTACTTATAATTTTTTACTTTTATATTTTTCATTTTGTTCTGTTTTTGTAACTTCTATTTCTTTGCAGATGTTTTCTAATGTTTTGGCTTGTTTAAAGAAAATTTGTCATTAATTGTTGAAGCATTCTTATTATGGCTATTTCAAAATATTTGTCAGATAATTCCAACATTTGATTCATCTTAATATTGTTGTCAGTTGTCTTTTTTCATTAAATATGTGATTTTCTTATTTATTGGTATAATAGGTTTTTTCAATTATACATTGGAAATTTTGTCTATTATGTAAAAAGCCCCTGGCTCTTATTTGTTTCTATTTCAACTGTCACATTTAGCATAAAGGCCCTAGTTTACATATGCAGGATGTAATTCCAGTGACAGCTTATTTTTCAGAGATTTGCAGTGTTATTTTGATCTGTTTGGTTGATTTGATGCTACTATGGCTCCCTGTGGTCTTTGCTGATGTTGCCTGAAAGAACTAAACTGATTTCACCAGGCTAGGCTGCCTTAGTATCTCTTGATGTGAAAGAGAGTCTGTAGCTTGTGAGGAAAGAGGCTTCTCTGGTGAGACCCTTGTTGTGGTGGAATCCTCCTTGCCTTAAAGTAACAGGTAGTATTTCCTGGCTTGGGTGCTTGTTGTAGCATGTTAGTTTCTGAATGATCCCACTATTTACCTCAGTGTCTCTTTGTCAGGGAGGAACATGTTAGGCCTACTGTGACCCCAAAGCTGCCAAGGCCAGGCCACTTGTTTTGGCTGGGTCCTTGATTCAGGTTTGTTATGTTTATCCTTAAGTACCAAACCATTATTCGTTCTGCTTACCATTTGTATCATTCTTCTCTGTTTGGTTTTTACATTATTTCAGAGTTCATAGCTGGACTTATAGAAAGTAGCAGGGATAAATCAATGTCTTCCTGTCTGAACAAGAATTTTACATTGTATGTGTACTCAACCTTTTCTCCCAGTGGCCAAAACAGTCTAACTTTTTTTTTTCTTAACCAATATGGAATGCTGCTATCTAAAAGTTAGGCAAAACATATCAGAAAATTAGGCTTTAGGTCCTGCCTGGGTAGTATATATTGTAACTAGTAATAAGTAGAATTTCCAGAATTGAATAGAAAATTATTAATACTAGGCAGAAGATTTTCTTACTTTTCTGCGTTGGAAAGCCTTATATTTCACCATTCTACAGCTTTCCAAAAGATTAATGCCATGTGTCTTGACATTGGAAACTATAAGCCTAAATTTAGAAACATGCTAATTAAAGCTAAACAAAATTTAGAGACATACTAATGTGCACTAAACTTTATTGACTAACCATTAGGTAGCCAGTTAAAAATTGTTGTGCAAAATTTTAATGACAATTTGCCTTAATTTTAATCACAATTTGCCACTTAAGTGATCAATACATTATATAGATTTTTAAATGTAAATTTGATGATGTAGAAGAATGTTTTTCTGTTTATTGTTATATAGGAAGCAATCACAGAAGTCTGAGTTGTGATCATACCACCTAGCATCAATTATTTTAGACAGGTTTAATAATCATAAAGGAATTTTCAAATGTTTGCCTTTCAAAATTCTCCCTACATTTCCAAGGTCCTGCAGAACAGCATATCTAATTTATTTTCCCCATTTCCAGAGACCATCCAGCCTTATAGTTAATATGGAACCAACATCTGATATTACAGCACTATAGGGCTCACAAGGACTTTCAGCATCATAGATTAGAAATTCTTTCCTTCATTACTGTGGTAGAAAGAGATTATCTGACCTTATAAGTTCAATGAGTATTTTGCTGTTTAGAGCATTTCCCAAATTTGTTCAATGCAACATAACTGGGTGAAATAGTAGTAGGTTCCATAGGCATAGACAAGATGACATGGTCATGTAAGTTTGGTAAATAATAAGCTAAACATAGTTAAATATTTGTATTTTTCTGCATGACTTCCCAGAACCTTTAACATGCCTCTCCAAGGATGGAGGAGAGAGCAGGTTAAAATCTAGTGTTTCTAAAAGAATTATCTTTTGAAATAATCTTTAGAAAATTTGCCTGGAATATTTTCATTTGTTTAACACAGAATTTCCAAATCTTGATTGAATATAGAATGCCCCTCACCACACATACTTTATTCCCCGTAAAGAAGAACATATATTCAGTCCAAGCAATTAAAGTGGGAAAATTTAAAGTGATAAAGATAGAAAAAAATAATTACAAGTGACCTTACTTCCAGATTATGATTGTCTCCGTTGACTTTGATAAATACCTACAAACTGTTTGGCAGGATGAACAGAGACAGTGTAATTTTTTTAAAGGTAATTGCAATTTTTTACAACAAAAAAATTAAAAGCCTCAATCTTTAATACCAACAAAATAGCATATATATTTTAAAATTATAAGATCTATAATATTTTTACATAGAAAATAAAGTAAAATATTGAGAATATTAAAAAGAACTAAATTAATAAAAAGATACATTATGTTCATGAATAAAATAGACTATATGTCAAAGAAGTCTATTATTATATTGATTTGTGTTTTGGGGCAATTCAAATCAAAATTTGAGCAAGGTTTTTAGTATTTTTAGTGGAATTTTACAGATTATTTAACTCTTTTAGGAGAGCAAAGGTCCAGGAGTAGCAATGATATTCTTCAATAAGAGCCCAGTAAAGGGACTATTTCTACTTGTCCTATCAGCTATCAAGACATTATTAAGACTCATTTTAAGTCCATAGTTATAGGACCATATTATACTGGCAAATAAATGAATGCAGGAAAATAGAGAGTGCAGAATTTAATCAGCACCTGTATAAAAACCATTAATATGTGGTGTTGGAATTAGTGGTTATCTACATAGAAAAAAAAATTGGATTCCTATTTTATACCTTCACAGAATGCAATTATGGATATATTAAGTACTTCAATGTACAAGAATAGTACTTGAAAACTTTTAGAAAAAAACATAATATTTCTATGATTAGATATTTTACACATGATAAAAAGGTGCAAGTGATAAAGAAAGTGAAAAGGCATTCCATGACAGGGAAAACATCAGGGAAAACATATTTATCATACATACCATTTGACAAAGGCTTACTTTTCAGAATATGTTTTGGGATAATTAAGAAAACACTACAAACCAATAGGTAAAGATAAGTAATCTACTAATAAAGCAATATACAAAAGTGACAAAAGGGATTTCTACATAAACAGAGACATATGTGTTCAATAAGCATTTGAAAATATGCTCAACTATATTAGAAAGAAAATGCAAATTAAAATCAGATACAATTTCATATTCATTAGAATTATGAAAATAAAAAAATTCAGACAACACTAAGTGTATTAATTTGCTAAGGCTGCCATAAAAAGTACTACAGACTAGGTGGCTCAGAAAAACTTAATTTTATTGTCTTACAACTCAGAAAGTGAGAAGTCCAAGATCAGGTTATTGGCACATTTGGTTTCTTCTGAGGCCTCTCTCTCTGGCTTGCAGGTGGTGGTCTTCTCACTATGTCCTTACATAGTCATTTTTCTCTGTGTTATATGTGTTCTAATTTCCTCTTCTTATAAGGATACCAGTCACACTAGATGACAGTTCACCCATATGACTTCATTTTATCTGAATTTTCTTATTAAGGACCCTATCTCCAAATACAGTCACATTCTGAGGTACTGGGAGTTATTACTTCAACACCCAAGAGTGCATAATTTAGCTCATAAATTTCAAGGGTACATAATTTAGCCCATAACACTAAGTTTTAGCAAAGATACTAACATGAAACTAACATTAAACAAACATTAAAACTGAACAAACATGAATAACACTAAACAAAGACACTAATTGTCTGCTATTCTGCGGTACATAGAATTATCATATGCTTCAGTTGAGAGTTTAAGTTGGTATAAACCTTTTGAAAAACATTTTTTATTATTTAGTAATGTTGAATATGTACATGCCCTAAAAATTTTACTTCTACTTATGCCTCAGATGGCATTTGTACAGGTGCTCAAGAAGAAATATATAACAAAAAGCCAAAAGTAAAAACTGGCAAACACCCAAATATCTACCAAAATAGAATAGATGAAGAAATTGTGGTAAAGTAATATAGTGGAATATTGTACAACAATTAAAATTACTAAACTATAGTAATGCACGTCAGCATATGTCAATCACAAAATTATTTAGTGATAGACTAAATTCACAGAATATATAAATATTTCTTCTTTGTGTGAAGTGATTTTCTAGCAGTATGTTTTAATTTTTTGCCTTTTTGTGTATCTGTTGTAGAGTATTGATTTGAGGTTACCATGAGGCTCTCAAATAATATTTTACAACCAAATATTTTAAACTGATGACAACTTAATTTGAATCACAAAAAAATTTTAAAAAGCAAAAAAAAATTAAAACTTTTATATTTTAGCATCACCATCCCCCCACTTCTTGCCATTTTATCTCTATTTATAATTTTTATACTATCTATCTCATAAAGTTATTGTACTTATTACTTTTGATAGGTTTTTCTTTTAGTCTTCCTACTCAAGATACGAGTAGTTTGCACATCAAAGTTACAGCGTTAGAATATTCTGTATTTGTGTGTTTAGTATTACTAATGAGTTTTACATCTTGAGATGATTTATTATTGATCTTTTTTTTTCTTTCAGAATAAATAACTCCCTTTAGCATTTCTGGTAGAACTGGTCCAGTGTTGGCAAAATCCCTCCACTATTGCTTGTCTAGGAAAGTCTTTATGTATCTTTCATGTTTGAAGGGTATTTTTTGCTGGATGCGCTATTCTAGCATGAAAGTTTGTTTTACCTCCTTCAGCACAATGAATATGTCGACTCACTCTTTTCTGGCCCCTAAGGTTTCCACTGAGAAGTTTGCTGCCACATGTATTGGAGCTCATTTTTATGTTATTTTTTTAGCTGCTTATACAAAGTTTTTGCACATCAAAAGAAACAATCAAAAAAGTAAAAGACCCAGTTTTACAGATCCGGTTTCATTATTCTGCATATGGCTAGCCAATTTTCCCAGCAACATTTATTGAATAGGATGTTCTTTCCTTGCTCTGTTTTTGTTTTTTTTGTTTTTTTTTTTTTTTTTGGCAACTTTGTTGAGGATCTATAGGCTGTAGGTATGTGGCTTTATTTCTGGGTTCTTTATTCTGTTCCATTGATCTATGTGTCCATTATTGTACAAGTACCGTGTGGTTTTGGTTACTATAGCCTTTTAATATAATTTGAGGTCAGTTAATGTGATGCCTCCATGCCTCCAGCTTTGTTCTTTTTGCTTAGAATTGCTTTAGCTTTTCTGGGTTTATTCCTTATGAATTTTTGGATCTTTACTTATTCTGTGAAAAATGACATAAGTATTTTGATAGGAATGGCATTACATCTGTAAATTGCTTTGGGGAGTATGGTCATTTTAATGATTGATTATTTCAAATCATGAGCATGGGCTTTTTTTTTCGTTTGTCTTTGTCATTTAGGATTTATTTCATCACTGTCTTATAGTTTTCCTTCTAGCAATCTTTTATCTCCTCGATTAAATGTATACCTAGGTATTTATTTTTTCTTGTAGCTATTGTAATTAGGTTTGACATTTTGATTTGGTTCTCAGCTTGATCAGTACTGGTGTATAGAAATACTACTAATTTTTGTACTTTGATGTATCCTGAAATGTTATTAAATTCATTTATTAGATCTAGGAGTACTTTGGTGGAGTCTTTAGGGTTTTTTATGTATAAGATCACATGATAAACAAATGGAAATAATTAGGCTTTCTCTTTTCAATTTGGATGCCTTTTATTTCTTCCTCTTACCTGATTGCTCTGGCTAGGACTTCCAGTACTATGTTGTAATAAGAGTGGTGCAAGTGAGCATCCTTTTCTTTTTTCATTTCTAAGAAGAAAAGCTGAAAGCTTTTACTATGATGTTGGCTATGGGTTTATTATATATGGTTTTTTATTATTTTGGGGTATGTTTCTTCTATGCATAGTTTGTTGAGTGTTTTTATTATGAAGCAATGCTGAATTTTATAAAAAGATGTTTTTAATCTATTGGGATGATCATATGGTTTTTGTCCTTAATTCTGTTAATGTGGTGAATTGCATTTATTGATTTCTATATGTTGAACCACCCTTGCATCTCTAGGATAAAATCCACTTGAATGTGGTGCATTACTTTTTTTGATGAGCTGTTGGATTTCGTTTACTCATATATTGTCGAGAATTTTTGCATCTATGTTCACCAAGAATAGTGGTCTGCAGTTTCCTTTAATTGTTTCTTTGCCTGGCTTTGGTATCAGAGTGCAACTAGCTGCATATAATTAGTTAGGGAGGATTCATTTCTCCTTAATTTGTTGAAACTATTGCAGTGGGTACCAGTTCTTCTTTGTAATTCTGGTAGAATTAGGTTGTGAATCCATCTGGTCCTGGGCTTCTTTTTTGTGGGGAGATTTTTAAAGTACTGATTCAATCCCACTATTCACTGTTGGTCTATAGAAAATTTTTATTTCTTCCTGGTTCAATCTTGAGAGGTTATATGTTCCAGGAATTTATCTGTTTCCTTAAGTGTTCTAGTTCATGACTATAGAGATATTCATAGTAGTTTCTAATAATATATATATGTATATATTATAATATTATATATACACATATATGAATATATAGGAATATATATACATATAGGAATATATATACATATATGAATACATATACATATATGAATATATATGAATACGTATTCATATATGAATACGTATTCATATATGTGTATATATGAATATGTATTCATATATGAATATATATATGAATACATATACATACATGAATATATATGAATACATATACATACATGAATATATGAATACATATACATACATGAATACATATGAAGACATATACATACATGAATACACATGAAGACATATACATACCTGAATACATATGAAGACATATACATACCTGAATACATATGAAGACATATACATACATGAATACATATGAAGACATATTCATACATGAATATATATGAGTACATATTCATATATGAATATATATGAGTACATATTCATATATGAATATATATGAGCACATATACATATATGAATATATATGAGTACATATACATATATGAATATATATGAGTACATATACATATATGTATACATGTTATATATATACACGTGTGTGTGTGTGTGTGTGTGTGTGTGTATATACATATATATATATATGAGATAGAGTGATGCTCTGTCTCCCAGACTGGAGTACAATGGCACAATCTCAGCTCACTGCCACCTCTGCTTCTGCCTCCTGGGTTCAAGCAATTCTCCTGCTGCAGCCTCTCGAGTAGCTGGGATTACAGGTGCCCACCATGCTATCGGCTATTTTTTGTCTTTTTAGTAGAGACAGGGTTTTGCCACATTGGCCAGGCTGGTCTCAAATTCCTGACCTCAGGTGATCTGCCCGCCGCGGCCTCCAAAAGTGCTGGGATTACGGGCATGAGCCACCGAACCCGGCCTCTGATAATATTTTGTAGTTCTGTTGTATCAGTTGTAATATCTTCTTATTCATTTCTAATTGTGCTTTTTTTAATCTTCTCTATTTTTAATCTAGCTAGCATTCAATTAATTTTGTTTATCGCTTCAAAAATAAACTAGTTTAACTGATACTTTGTATGGTTTTTTGGTTTCAAGTTCAATTAGTTCTGCTGTGATGCTGTAAACTTTGTTATTTATTCCTTTTCGTCTGCTAGCATTGAATTTGGTTTCTACTTTATTTTTTAGTTCCTTGAGGTGTGACATGCTGTTATTAATTTGTGATCATTCTGTCTTCTTGATATAAGCATTTAATGCTCCAAACTTCCCTCTTAGCGTTGCTTTTGCTGTATCTCCAAGGTTTTGATATGGTGTTTCTCTATTTTTATATGTTACAATTTTTAAAATGTTCCTCTTACTTTATTTATCCAAACACTGTTCAGGAGCAAGTTTTTAAATTTTCCTGTATTTGTGTGGTTTTGAGAGTTTGTCTTGGAACTGATTTCTTCTTTCATTTCTCTATGATCTGAAATGATACTTGATATAATTTTGATTTTCAAAAATTTACTGAGACTTCTTTTGTAACCTAACATATAGTTTATTTTGGAAAATGGTGCATATGCTGATGAGAAGATTGTATATTCTTTGGTTGTTGGGTAGAATATTCTGTAAATGTCTGTTAGGTCAATTTGGTCTAGAGGCCCATTTAAGTTCAGTATTTCTGTGCTGATTTCCTGTCTTGATAATCTGTCTAGTGCTGTCAGTGGGGATTGAAGTCCGCCACTATTATTGTATTAATATTTATCTCTTAGTTCTATCATTTGTTTCATTCAGACTTTAAATTATAATGATTTTTTTAAAAGCAGACATTACATAATGATAAAGGGTTTAATTCAACAAGAAGGCCTAACTATTCTAAATATATATGTACTCAACACAAGAACACCCAGATTTATAAAGCAAGTTCTTAGAGACCTTTAAAGAGACTGAGACTCCTGCCCCCACAATAAAAGGGAGAAACTTTAACAACCCACAGACAACATTAGACAGATCATGGAGGCAGAAAATTAACAAAGATATTTAGGAGCTGAACTCAGCACTGATCAAATGGAACTGATAGACATTTACAGAAATTTCCACCCCCAAACAATGGAGTATACATTTTTTTTTTTATCACCACATTACACATTCTCTAAAATCAATCAAATAATTGGACATAAAACCCTCCTCAATGAATGCAAAGTAACTGATATCATAACTACCCTCTTGGGCCACAGCACAATCAAACTGAAAATCAAGACTAAGAAATTCACTCAAAACCATACAACTACATGGAAGTTGAGTAACTTGTTCCTGAATGACTTTTGGGTAAATAATGAAATTAAGGCAGAAATCAAGAAGTTCTTTGAAACTAATAAGAACAAAGATACAACGTACCAGAACCTCTAGGAAACAGCTAAGTCAGTGTTAAGGGAGAAATCTGGCACGGCAAGGTGGCTCAAGCTTGTAATCCCAGCACTTTGGGAGACCTAGGTGGGTGGATCTCCTGAGGTCAGGAGTTCGAGACAAGCCTGGCCAACATGGAAAAAACACTATCTCTACTAAAAATAATAAAAAAAAATAACCAGGCATGATGGTGGGCACCTGTAATCCCAGCTACTTTGAAGACTGGAGCAGGAGAAACACTTGAACCTGAGAGGTGAAGATTACAGTGAGCCAAGATTGTGCCACTGCACTCCAGCCTGGGCAACTGAGTGAGACTCCATCAAAAAAAAAAAAAAAAAAAAAAAAGAGGGAAATTTGTAGCACTAAATACCCACATCAAAAACTTTTAAAGATCTCAATTTAACAACCTAACATCACAAATAAAAGAACTAAAGAACCCAGTGAAAATCAACCCAAAAGCTATCAGACAAGCAATAACCAACATAACAGTTAAACTGAAGGAGATTCAAAAATAAATGAATCTAGGAGCTGTTGATTTAGAAAAAAAATAATAAAATAGACCACTAGCTAAACTGATAGAAAAAATCTCAGAAGAATCAAATAAACACAATCAGAAATGATAAGGGGGATATCACCATTGACCTCACAGAAATACAAACAACCATCAGAAAATACTATAAACACCTCTATGCACATGAACTAGAAAATCTAGAATAAATTGATAAATTCCTGGACACATATACCCTCCCAAGGCAAAGCCAGGAAGAAACTGAATCTCTGAATAGACCAATAATGAGTTCTGAAATTAAGGCAGTAATAAATAGCCTACCAACCAAAAAACAACAGGACCAGATAGATTCACAGCTGAATTCTACCAGATGTACAGAGCTGGTACCATTCCTACTGAAACTATTCCACAAAATTAAGGAGGAGGAATTCCTCCTTAACTAATTCTATGACGTCAGCAACACCCCAATACCAAAACTGACAGAGACACAACAAGAAAATAAAACTTCAGGTCAATATCTTTGATGAACATAGATACAAAAATGTTTAACAAAATACTAGCAAACCAATTCCAGCAGCACAAAAACATCTTATCCATCAGAATCAGCTAGGCTTTATCCCTGGGGTGCAAGGTTGGTTCAACATATGCAAATCAAAAGATGTGATTTATCACATAAGCAGAACTAAAAACAAAAACCACATGATTATCTCAATAGATGCAGAAAAGACTTTCAATAAAATTCTATGTTCCTTTATGTTAAAAACTCTCAAGAAATTAAGTATTGAAGGAATATACCTTAAAATCATAAGAGCCATCTATGACAAACCCACAGCCAATATCATACCGAATGAGCAAAAGCTGAAAGCATTCCCCTTGGAAACTGGCAAAAGAAAAGGATGCCCTATCTCAGCACTCTTATTCAATATGTATTGGAGGTCTGGACAGAGGAATCAGGCAAGAAAATGAAATCAAGGCATTCAAATAGGAAGAGAGGAAATCAACTTATCCCTGTTTGAAGACGATATGATCCTATATCTAGAAAACCCCAAAGTTTTCACCCAAAAGCTTTTTAATCTGGAAAACAACTTCAGCAAAGTTTCAGGACACAAAATCAACGTACAAAAGTCACTAGCATTTCTTTACACCAACAACAGTCAAGCTGAGATCCAAATCAAGAACAGAATCTTGTTTACAATTGTCATAATAATAATAAAATACCTGAGAGTAGAGCTAACCAGAAAAGTGAAAAACATCTACAAGGAGAGCTACCAAGCACTGCTCAAAGAAATCAGACATTACACAAACAAATGGAAAAACATCCCATGCTCATGGATACAAAGAATCATTATCTTTAAAAATGGCCTTACTGCTCAAAGCAATTTATAGATTCAATGCTATTCCTATTAAATTACCAATGACATTCTTCACAGAACTAAACATAAAATCAACCTAAAAGCTCATCAATTGTAGACCGAATAGAGAAAATGTGGTACATATACACCATGAAATACTATGCAGCCATAAATAGAATGAGATCATGTCCTTTGCAGGAACATGAATGGAGCTGGAGATCATTATCCATAGCAAACTAACACAGGAACAGAAAATCAAATACTGCATGTTCTCACTTATAAGTGGGAGCTAAATGATGAGAACACATAAACACATAGAGGGGAACAACAGACACTGGGTCCTATCAGAAGGTGAAGGTTGGGAGCAAAAAGTGGATTAGGAAAGATATCTCATGGGTACTAGGCTTAATACCTGGGTGATGAAATAATCTGTACAACAAATCTCAATGGCATAAGTTTACCTATGTAAGAAATCTGCACATTTAACTGTGAACTTTATAGCTAAAAAATTAACTCCAGATGATTAAAGACTTAAATGTAAGACTTAAAACCATAAAAACCCTAGAAGAAAACCTAGGCAGTACCATTCAGGACATAGGCATAGGCAAAGACTTCATGACTAAAACACCAAAAGCAATGGCAACAAAAGCCAAAATTGACAAATGAGATCTAATTAAACTAAACAGCTTCTGCACAGCAAAAGAAACTCTCATCAGGATGAACATGCAACCTACAAAAATGAGAGAAAATTTTTGTAATCTATCCATCTGACAAAGGGCTAATATCCAAACTCTACAATGCACTTAAACTTACAAGAAAAAAACAAACAACCCCATCAAAAAGTGGGAGAAAGCTATGAACAGACACTTCTCAAAAGAAGACATTTATGCAGCCAACATACATATGAAAAAAAAAGCTCATCATCACTGGTCATTAGAGAAATGCAAATCAAAACCACAATGAGATACCATCTCACACCAGTTAGAATGGTGATCATTAAAAAGTCAGGAAACAACAGATGCTGGAGAGGATGTGGAGAAATAGGAACACTTTTACACTATTGGTGGGAGTGTAAATTAGTTCAACCATTGTAGGAGACAGTGTAGTGATTCCTCAAGGATCTAGAACCAGAAATACCATTTGACCCAGCAATCCCATTACTGGGTATATACCCAAAAGATTTGAAATCATTCTACTATAAAGACACATACACAGGTATGTTTATTGCAGCATTATTCAAAAGAGCAAAGACTTGGAACCAACACAAATGCCCATCAATGTTAGACTGGATAAAGAAAATGTGGCACATATACACCATGGAATACTATAAAGCCATAAAAAAGGATGAATTCATGTTCTTTGCAGGGACATGGATGAAGCTGGAAACCATCATTCTCAGCAAGCTAACACAGGAACAGAAAACCAAACACCACATGTTCTCACTCGTAATTGGGAGTTGAATAATGAGAACATATGGGCACAGGGAGGCGAACATCACACACTGGGGCATGTTGGGGGTTGGGGGGCAAGGGGAGGGATAGCATTAGGAGAAATACCTAATGTAGATGACAGGTTGATGGGTGCAGCAAACCACTATGGCATATGTATACCTATGTAACAAACCTGCATGTTCTGCACATGGATCCCAGAACTTAAAGTATAAAAAAAAAAAAAAGGAAAAAAGAACAATTTGTTTTATTAATCTGGGTGGTGTTGGTTAAGATATATGTCAATTTAGGATTGTTATATCTTCTTGGTAAATTGATCCCTTTATCATTTGATTGTCTTCTTTGGATTTTTTCACTGTTGTTTATTAAAAGTCTGTTTTGCCTGATATAAGTATTGCTACTCCTGCTAACTTTTTTTGGCATGGAATGTCTTTTTAAAGCACTTTACTTTTAATGTGTCAGTATATTTTTCAGTTAGTTGAATCTTTTATAAGCAGCATATGGTTCCATCCTGTTTTTTTTTTCTCTCTATTCTGCTGATCCATATCTTTTAAGTGGAACATTTAATCCATTTACATTCAAAGTTAATATTGATATATAAGCTTTTTTTCCTTTTGTAATGTTGTTACCTAGTTGACTTGTAGCCTCAATTGTAATTGTTTATAAGAACTATAAGCTTTATGCTTCTGAGTCTTTTATGATGGCAAATAATATTGTTTGGATGTGTGTCACTTTCATGTTGAAACGTGATACCCAATTTTGGAAGCAGGGCCAAGTGGGAACTGTTTGATTCATAGTGGCGGACTTCTCATAAATGACTTAATGCTGTCCTCACAGCAGTGAATGAGTTCTCACTCTATTAGTTTACATGAAAGATGATTATTTAAAAGAGCTTAGAACCTTCTTCTCTCTCTTTGTTCTCACTCTTGCCATGTGACACACCTCCTTCCTCTTTACCTTTTCCCTGGGTAAAATCTTCCTGAGGATTCACTAGAAGCTGAGAAGATACTGGTGCCATGCTTGAATATTCCAAATCACCATGAGCAAAATAAGCCTTTTTTCTTTGTAAATTACTCACCTTCAGTTATTTCTTTATAGTGACACAAACAGACTAACATAGCAAGTGTTGACATTTTGTTTTAGCGTTTAGAGCTCCCTTCAGCATTTCTTATAGATCTGGTCTAGTGGTGACAAATTCTCAGAATTTCTTTTTGTCTGGAAAACACTGTTTCTTTTTCATTTACAAAGCTTAGTTTAGCAGGATACAAAATGTGGTTGCCAGTGTTTTTTTTAAGAAGTATTAAAATAGAACCCAAATCTCTTCTGGTTTGTAAGGTTTCTACTGCAAAGTTTGCTGTTAGTCTGATTGAATTTCCTTTATAGGTGATTAGATGCTTCTCCTTTGGTAAATTTAGTATTTTTTCCTGCATGTTAACTTTAGATAGTCTGATGACTATATGTTTTGTTGAAGTCTGTCTTGCAACGTATCCTCTTTGAGTTCTCTGTACCGCTTGTATCTGGATGTCTAAATAACTAGCAAGATGAGAATGTTTGCCTCAATTACTTCCTCAAATAGGTTTTCCAAACACTTTACTTTTTCTTCTTACTCAGGAATTTCTATGACTTGTAGATTTGAATGTTTTACATAATTCCCACACCTCTTGAAGGTTTTATTTACATTTTTATTATTCTTTTTTTTTCTTTTTTGTCTGATTGGGTTATTTTGAAAAACCCGTCTTCAAGCCTTAAGATTCTTTCTTCTTGACCTAGTGTATTTTAAAGTTTTCAATCAGATTATGTAATTCCTAGTTAAATTTTTTTTTATGTCCAGAAATTGTGGTTGTTTGTCTTTTAATATCTAGCTCTTTGGTAAATTTTTCCTTTGTATCTGTGTTGCAGGAAGTCAGGGACCCAGAATGGAGGGACCGGCTGGAGCCACAGCAGAGGAACATAAATTGTGAAGATTTCATGGACATTTATCAGTTCCCAAAATTAATACTTTTATAATTTCTTATGCCTGCCTTTACTGCAATCTCTGAATATAAATTGTGAAGATTTCATGGACATTTATCAGTTCCCAAATAATACTCTTATAATTTCTTATGCCTGTCTTTACTTTAATCTCTTAATCCTGTTATCTTTGTAAGCTGAGAATGTATGTCACCTCAGGACCACTATTGTACAAATTGATTGTAAAACATGTGTGTTTGAACAATATGAAATCAGTGCACCTTGAAAAAGAACAGAATTACAGCAATTTTCAGGGAACAAGGGAAGACAACCATAAGGTCTGACTGCCTGCGGGGTCGGGCAGAATACAGTTATATTTTTCTTCTTGCAGAGAGCCTATAAATGGACATGGGAGTAGGAGATATATCACTCAATTCTTTTTCCAGCAAGGAATATTAATAATTAATACCCTGGGGAAGGAATGCATTCCTGGGGGGAGGTCTATAAATGGCCGCTCTGGGAGTGTCTGTCTTATGCAGTTGAGATAAGGACTGAAATATGCCCTGGTCTCCTGCAGTAACCTCAGGCTCACTAGGGTGGGGAAAATCCCCACCCTGGTGAATTTGAGGTCAGACCAGTTCTCTGCTCTCGAGCTCTGTCTTCTGTTGTTTAAGATGTTTATCAAGACAATAATGTGCACAGCTGAACATAAACCCTCATCAGTAATTCTAATTTTGCCCTTTGCCTTGTGATCTTTGCTTTCCCCTTTGCCTTGTGATCTTTTTGCCCTTTGAAGCATGTGATCTTTGTGACCTACTCCCTGTTCTTGAACCCCCTCCCCATTTGAAATCCTCAATAAAAACCTGGTGGTTTTGCAGCTCGGGCGGGCATCACAGGCCTACCGATATGTGATGTCACCCCCAGCAGCCCAGCTGTAAAATTCCTCTTTTTGTACTCTTACTCTTTATTTCTCAGACTGGCCAACACTTAGGGAAAATAAAAAGAATCTATGTTGAAATATTGGGGATGGGTTCCCCCGATATATCTGAATTTTTTTTTTATTTTCTTTTGTTGGTTTCCAACTGTTTTTGTATCTGCTGGAATTTCTTTAAAATCAGTATTTTGAATTATTTATCTGTTATTTCAAAGTTTAATTTTGTTTAATATCCATTCATATAAAGGTCTGATTCTTTGAGGGTGTTTCAACACTTTATTTTTTGTATACTTCCAGAATGTTTCTCTGATTAATTTTCTTCTGGATAAAATATCTCTTATTATTATGTTTGAATTTATTTGCATTTGAACGTGATTTGTTTTTCTCCTTGAGGATGCGGCTACAATATATGTGTGTAGGGTAGTTTGGCTTCGGGGTTATTTCAGGAGGAAAGACTCTGGATGATGTTCTTGGTTATAGATAGCCTTTGTGTGTTAGCTTCTTCAAATTCTGGTTTTAGTAGCATTGTGTTGGGTTTGTGAACATGCTCACGGCCTCCTGCATAGCCAAATTGTTGAAGGTCTCAGGAAGATCATCTCATTCCCCATCGCTGTGCATTTGTGTCAACAGATTTTGTATTGGGTTGTGCAGTTCAATCTCCAGGCAAGTAGGTGGTGTTTATGGGTAAGAGCCAGCTGCAACAGACACAGAAGGTTATATGCTTGATTATTGTTTATTGAGAGAAGCTCTATGTAGCCTCAGGCAATGGGACAGTCTGTGGAATGCACAGTGGCCAAAGCTTCCTACTCAGCCCCTCTAGGGGGGCAAAGGTGGGTGGACCTTTTCTGTCATGCCCACTCTTGGATACACCAATGGTGGGCACAAGTACCAGCCCTGATGTGAGCACCAAGGACAGTGCCTGGTGTAATGCACCAAGGCCACCACACAGAGAGGGAGGTGACTATTCTAGATCCATGGCCTTGGCAGGTGTGAATGTGATCTCCTTCCTTGTCACAACCATGTCCCAGTGCTTGAGACACTCAGAATGGGCATACACCACTGTCTATCTCCAGGCTGCAATGTTGCCCAAAGCCATGAAAGACACCTGACCCTTGACTCATTGTTGGGACATATTTTGTATAGGACCTTCTTCCTTAGCCCAAAACACACAGCTTTGTGGGTCTCCTGCTCTCCACTGTGAGAAAGAATGCTGATGCTCCATGCAGAGAGGGGCAGGTGCCCCACCTTTTGTGCAAGCCAATGCTCAGTGGGAATACTATCAGTGGGGGTGCAGTCACTCCAATAGCCCTAGAATGGCCATATTCTGGCATGCCCATGCCACTTTCCTCTGGGTAGCAAACATGGCTGTGTCTGCCACAGTGCCTTCCTCTCCACACCTTAGCCCAAGCACTGAGGCCACTGGGTCACTGGGTCACTGAGATGGAACCACACTCCTTTCTTGTAGAGCTAAGCACAGTGCCCACGTCCCCACTGGAAGTGGTGCCGTCACTCTCAGCCCAGAAGGGGGAAGAATTTGAGCACAGGAAAATGGCTTCTCTGCTTTCTTTTGTCCCAGTGGGTGCTTCCTTGATGCACTGCTTTCTCCCTTTGCTTAGGAGCAACAGTCCCTGTCGTCTAAAACCCTGAAGCTCCTCTGGGTCCAGTCACTCTCGTGTGGCTGCCACAATCTGAGTGAGTGCTGGGTAATATCTGCAGGGGCTCTGGCAATGTGTAGACAAAAGAGTTGAGAGAACTGAGGCTTCCTGGTTCTGACATAGTTCCTCAATGGCTGCACCCCCCGTATGGCACCCTGCCACTGCAGCTTGGAACCTGGGATAGGATGAGAAACCTGGTGCAAGTGGGTAGTCTGGTGTAATGCCTTCCAGAAATTCCCAAACCACTGTCCACACCAGTGATTGAATTCATGAAATCAGAGGAGCCCTCTGTCAGTTTGGATACCTGCAGCCTGCCACAGGTTTGAGAAGAGTCAAAAACATCTCCACCTATACTTTCAATGAAATACCGAGTCTCTTATGGTTTCTAGCTGATCTCTGCCAGTCTCTTCCTTCTTTGTTTTTCTGTGCCTTAGCTTCTTCCCATGAGTTCTCCACTAGGATCCAGCACTCTTCCCTTCATATTCTATTTGAGTTATCATTATTCACCTGTAATTTTGTTCCTTCTGTGTCCGGAATTGGTGGGTTCTTGGTCTCACTGACTTCAAGAATGAGGCCGCGGACGCTCGCGGTGACTGTTACAGCTCTTAAGGTGGCGCGTCTGGAGTCTGTCCCTTCTGATGTTCAGATGTGTTCGGAGTTTCTTCCTTCTGGTGGGTTCTTGGTCTCGCTGGCTCAGGAGTGAAGCTGCAGACCTTAGCAGTGAGTGTTACAGCTCTTAAGGCAGCACCTCTGGAGTTGTTCATTCCTCCCGGTGGGCTCGTGGTCTCGCTGGACTCAGGAGTGAAGCTGCAGATCTTCGCAGTGAGTGTTACAGCTCATAAAAGCAGCGTGGACCCAAAGAGTGAGCAGTAGCAAGATTTATTGCAAAGAGCGAAAGAACAAAGCTTCTACAGTGTGGAAGGGGACGCGAGCGGGTTGCCAATGCTGGCTCGGGCAGCCTGGTTTTATTCTCTTACCTGGTCCCACCTACATCCTGCTGATTGGTAGAGCCCAGTGGCCTGTTTTGTCAGGGCACTGATTGGTGCGTTTACAATCCCTGAGCTAGATACAAAGGTTCTCCACGTCTCCATCAGATTACTTAGCTACAGAGTTTCCACACACAGATTCTCCAAGGCCCCACCAGAGCAGTTAGATACAGTGTCGATTGGTGCATTCACAAACCTTGAGCTAAACACAGGGTGCTGATTGGCGTGTTTACAAACCTTGAGCTAGATACAGAGTGCCGATTGGTGTATTTATAATCCTTGAGTTAGACATAAAGACTCTCCACGTCCTCACCAGAGCAGCTAGATACAGTGTCGATTGGTGCACTCACAAACCTTGAGCTAAACACAGGGTGCTGATTGGTGTATTTACAATCCCTGAGCTAGATATAAAGACTCTCCAGGTCCCCACCAGACTCAGGAGCCCAGCTGGTTTCACCTAGTGGATCCCACACTGGGGCTGCAGGTGGAGCTGCCTGCCACTCCTGCACCATGCGCTCGCATTCCTCAGCCCTTGGGTGGTCGATGGGACTGGGCGCCGAGGAGCAGGGGGTGGCGCTCGTCAGGGAGGCTCAGGCCGCACAGGAGCCCATGGAGTGGGTGGGAGGCTCAGGCATGGTGGGCTGCAGGTCCCGAGCCCTGCCTCGCGGGAAGGCAGCTAAGGCCCGGCGAGAAATCGAGCGCAGCACTGGTGGGCCAGCACTGCTGGGGGACTCAGTACACCCTCCACAGCCACTGGCCCAGGTGCTAAGTCCCCCATTGCCCGGGGCCAGCAGGGCTGGCTGGCTGCTCCGAGTGCGGGGCCCACCAAGCCCCCACCCACCCGGAACTCCAGCTGGCCCGCAAGCGCCGCATGCAGCCCCAGTTCCCGCTCGTGCCTCTCCCTCCACACCTCCCTGCAAGCTGAGGGAGTGGGCTCTGGCCTTGGCCAGCCCAGAAAGGGGCTCCCACAGTGCAGTGGGGGGCTGAAGGGCTCCTCAAATGCCACAAAGTGGGAGCCCAGGCAGGGGAGGTGCCGAGAGCAAGCGAGGGCTCTGAGGACTGCCAGCACGCTGTCACCTCTCACTTCTTTCTGAGGATAACTGGCATCAAACATCCCCAGACAGCCATCTTGAAAATAAAAACTTTCTTCAATGTATTTTTTGCCTTTTTGCCAATTTTTGTACTGAAATGTTAGGCCCCTTTTTGTTTACTGATTTATACATATTCCTTGTGGTTCAAGATACTAACTTCCCGTCAAAATGTTGGAAATTTTTTCCTCCATTTTGCAGTTTGATTTCCATTTTACTTGTGTTGTTTGGTATATCATCAAAGTTTATTGCATTTTTAATATATTCAAACCTATAACTTTTTAATAACATATTTTGCTTTCATGTCATACTTTTAAAGGTTGCTAATCCTAGCATTGCAAGAGCTGTTACTTCTCTAATTATATTTTAATAGCTCAATCTTGTATATATTTGGCATTTACTTTTGGTGTTAGAAATGGATTAAGATTATATTTTATTTTTTCTCAGGACTATATAATTACCACCAAATTATTGTCTTTTCTCATGTCAATATTCTTAGTATTTTATTCTGTTCTGTTATGTAATCTATCTGCTCTTGTACTTCAGTTGATTATTTTGGATTTGATAGGGATAAAATTTGACCACTTTGATTTTATTGATTGTCTTTTGAGGGTCTATTGAAATAATGATTACAACACTGGACTTTTATTGTGCTTGGGCCAAAACAGATAAGCAACTATCCGTTTAATTTACTACTTTGCTTTAAAAATCGCTCTTAAATTTGCCACATCAGCCATTTCCCATGCATTTTTTTTTAACATTCTGGTTTGATTTTGCTAATTATTTTCTTCTGTTTTCCATTGTTTGATACATTTTCATTTTATTTTATTAAAGATTAGAAAAGTATTGGTTTATAATTTCTACTACCTCTTTTTCAACTCTCCAGTCCTGTCTGCACCTCCATATTTTTCTTTATACTTACTAAGATTTTTGTTTCTGAATATTATGACTTTATTAGGACTATTTTTAGACTTTTCAATTTAAAAAAATAATATGCATTGAGGTGCAATTTTACTACAATAAAATGCACCCACTTTAAATATATGCACTGTGTAATCACCATATACACTTTAAATATACGCACTGTGTAATCACCAGATAAAATTTGTATCACCCCAAAATATTCACTTAGGTTTATACTCATCCTTTATGTAAACCCTGAACTGGTTTTTGTCTCTATAGTTAAGTTATGCCTTCACTAGAGTTTCATAAAAATGTAATCATACAGTATCTACACTTTTGTATTTCCTGTTTTAAATAGCTTTGCTTAAATATCATATTAGAATTTCTCAATAATATAATTTTTATTTATCTTTATTTTTTTCACAGTTTTTCTATGTTGGCCCCTCCTCTTCCTTTGTTTTTACCCTCTTTTGGGGGTAGTAGAGTGAAAGTGAAATAGTCCCTCTTTTTCTTTAAGCCTGATGATAGAATATAGAACCCAAAAGACAATAAAACTACAATAATCAAAAAGATAATTTGGTGCAAAAATAATAGTTTCTTCAGAATGCTATAAAAATTCAAGTGCTAAATTGGAGATAAAAGTGTGTGTGAGACTTGACCCTTGCTTTAAGTAAGTTTTCATTCCTGAAATACAGATAAGACATGTTCTTAAACAACCAAAAAAGCAGGCATTATGTGGTTAAAACTGTAAAATTCTAATAAAATATTACAGGATTTCAAAAAAACGAAGTGCTAGCAAGAGAAAGTTTAGAAAATATTTAATGAGAGGTATATCATGCTCATATTTAATAATTCACACATTTGATATTTCCTTTCAGAGATACATAACAATCTTTTAATCTTACTCACTTCCAATATATGCTGAGAAGTAGATAAAGGGATGAAACTTTGATTTGCATCACATCATTTATATCTAAGCTCTCAAAAAATAATTTTATTTCAGGTGTTTATTCACTAAGTTTCATTCACTATTTGTATTTACTCCAGAGGAGGAAAACACAAATAAACATAAATTTTCTTCCATTCTACCCATCAAATCTATCATTTGTGTATGTATTATTTAGCATTAATTTTACAAATGATATACAATTCAATTCAATTGGAGAGATCTGGTACAGAATGCTTATAGATGATCTAGATGTGTGATAATATAAAATAAATGAAATTCAGAATACCTGATACAATTAATTTTGAAGTTTTCAGTCAACAATGTTTTAGGTAAGAAATATTTCTTAATCATTAATATTTGGTAGTTATTCCAGTATTTGATATATAAATGTGTTCTTAATTAGCATGTTAGCCTTATACAAAAATTATTCATTTATTTTAAAACACTATAAATTGAATTATATTTCTTTTTAAAAATTTTGTATACATTGAAGATGACAAAACATTTATTCTAGAATATCTTGGCAAGAACACATGAGTACCTTGGCTCTATAAGGATGATACATGTGTCTTAAAATGGAAGATCAAATATTAGTGTCAAGCGGCAATGTCAATGGTAACTCTTACTTACTAAATGCTGCAACACATGTTAAGAAGAAAGTGGTATAAATTAGGAAATGTCATTTATTGTAAGTAAAAATATATTTATTTATAAATAAATTTCAATTACAAGTCTTCAAAAATGGGTTGTCACCCATTAGCACTCCAATTGTAAATTATAGGTTAAGTTATAACTTTTTGTTCTGTTCATCATAAAATGAAACAAATATGGCTTATATTCACATTTCTCCTTATATTTCCAGAAAGCATAGTATAATTGTATTAGTCGGGGTTCTCTAGAGGGGCACACCTAATAGGATATATGTGTATATAAAGGGGAGTTTATTAAGGAGTATTGACTCACACAATCACAAGGTGAAGTTCCACAATAGGCCATCCGCAAGCTGAGGAGCAAGGAAGCCAGTCCGAGTCCCATAAACCTCAAAACTAGGGAAGCCAACAGTACAGCCTTCAGTCTGTGGTCGAAGGTCCAAGAGTCCCAAAGCTGAAGAACTTGGAGTCTGATGTTCAAGGGCAGGAAGCATCCAGCACAGGAGAAAGATAGAGCCCAGAAGACTCACCCAGTCTAGCCTTTTCACGTTCTTCTGTCTACTTTTTATTCTGGTTGCACTGGCAGTTGATTAGATGGTGCCCACCCAGATTGAGGGTGAGTCTGCCTTTCCCAGTCCACTGACTCAAATGTAAATCTCCTTTGCCAACACCCTCACAGACACACCCAGGAACAATACTTTGCATCCTTCAATCCGATCAAGTTGACACTCAATACTAACCATCACGATGACAAAAAGAAAAGGTGTTTTACACAGTTTAATATATTCCAGGAAGTCTTTTGTAAGATTCTCTAATTTTGATAGATTTACCCTCAATGATTTTATTTCTCTAGTTTTGTAATGCTATTTGAATTTTTGCTTCTTTTGAGATTTTTTTCTAAAAGACAAATTTTAAAAAAACTTGAAAGATCCTTGTCTAAATAAAAGTCAGTGGAAGTCAGCTAGAAACATGAGGAGTGGCAATATCACATTTTTCATTACCAAAACCATGCAAAAAATACAAATAACATGTTTCTTAAGAGGATTAATAATGTTAGAAAATAGTAAATTCAATACTATTTTTCAGACTATAAAATATTATAAAGAAGTGTTTTATATATGTTGATATTATAATAAAACCAAAATATATTTCTGTAAAGTATTTTGTCTTTATTCTCATCATTTTATTCTCTATATTTCTTAGAATAATTTTTCAAGATTTGTCATTCCTGCCTTTTCCCTCCTCCACAATTCAACTGTACTCTTACAATAAGAAATGAAACAGGATACATTGCCACTGATGCCACAGAAATAAAAAGGATTATGAGAGACTACTATAAGGAATTACATATCAACGAATTGGATTGTCTAGAGGAAACAGATAAATTCCAAGAAGCATATAACCTACCAAGACTGACTCATGAAGAAATAGAAAACCTGAGCAGACCTATGGCTTTTAAGAAAATTGAGTTACTAATCAAAAACCTCTCAACAAGGAAAATACAAGGGACAGAGAGCTTCATAGGTGAATTCTAGCAAACATTTAAACAATAATTAACACCAGTCCTTCTCAAACTCTAACAAAAAATGGAAGAGGGAGGAATGCTTCCAAACTCATTTTACAAGTTCAGGATTCCCTTGATATAAATGCCAGAAAAAAAACACCACAAGAAAAAAAAATACAAGTCAATGTCACTGATGAATATATATGCAAAATCATCAAAAAATACTAGCAAACCAAGTTCAATATCACATTAAAAGAATAGTACACACTTACCAAGTAAGATTTGTCCTTAAGTTGAAAGAATGTTTCAGTATTACACAATCAATATGATAAATCACATTTTCACAATGAAGAATATAGTCATATGATTATATCCACAGATGCAGGAATAATATTTGACAAAAGTCAACACTTTTTATAATACAATCTTTCAACAAATTAGGTATAGAAGAAATGTATCACAACATAATAAAGGGCATAAATGAGAAGCCCACAGCTAATATCATAGGTAATGAAAAGAAGCTGAAAATGTTTCTTCTCAGATGAGGACAAAGTAGAGGATGACCACTCTTCCCACTTTTATTTAACATAATACTGGAAATCCTAGCCAGAGCAATAAGATACAAAAAAAAAAAAATCCATATTGCAAAAGAAGAACTAAAATTATCTCTGTATGCAAATGATATTTTATATGTAGAAAATCCTTAAAATCTCCACCAAAAAAAAAACTGTTAAAACAAAGAAATTTAGTAAAGTTTCAGGATTCAAAATTAACATACAAAAATCAGTTGTGTTTATATATACTAGCAGTAAACTATTCAGAAAGAAAATTTAGAAAACAATCTCGTTTACAATGGCATCAAAAAGAATACAGTATTTATTAATAGTTTCAATCAAAGAGATAAAAATATTGTACAATGAAAACTGCAAGCCATTGATTACAGAAATTAAAAATGATATAAATAAATGGAAAGACATTTTGTGTTCATGGATTGAAACACATAATACTGTCAAAATGCCCATACTGCCCAAAACAGTCTACAGATACAATGCTATCCTTATGAAAATCTCAATGACATTTTATAAAAATAGAAAAAAATCAAGTTTATATGAAACCACAAGAGACCACAAAGAGCCAAAACAATCTTGAGAAGAACAAAGCTGGAGGTATCATACATTCTGATTTCAAATTATACTGCAGAGCTACAGTAATCAAAACAGTATAGTACAGGTGTAAAAACAGACATATAGCCCAGTGGAACAAAATGTAGAGCTCAGAAATAAATTCATGAATATATGACTAACTGATCTTTGGCATAGTTTCCAAGAATACATAATGGGTAGAAGATAATCTTGTCTACAAATAGTATCAGGAAAACTGGACATCCATATGAAAACAATGAAATTGAATTCTTACACCATATACAAACATTTACACAAAATTGATTGAAGACAAATGTAAGACTTGACATTATAAATTTCTTAGAACACATATGAAAATAGCTTCTTGACATTGTCTTTGTGATGTTTTCTTGAATATGACACAAAAACCATAGGCAATGGAAGCAAAAGTAGTTGGGATTGCATCAAACTAAAAGCTTCTAGACAGGAAAAGAAATAATAAAAAGAATGAAAAGGCAACCTACAGAATAGAAGAAAATGTTTGCAAACAGTGTATATGACAAAGAGCTAATGTGTGAAATATACAAATCATTCACGTGTGTATGTACTTTTTTCAAAACAAATTAATAGCAATTCAATAGAAAAAATAAAGAAAAAATAAATATTAAAAAGTAGACAAAAGCCTTGTATGACATTTTTTTTCCAAAAAAATATACAAATGGCTAACAGAGATATAATAAAGAGGCTCCACAACACTACTCATTAGGAAAATGCACTTAAAACCCTAATGGAATATGATCTCAGACCTGTTAGAGTGGCTGTTACAAAATGATAAAAGATTGTGAAGATAAGATAAAAATCCCCTTATGCTTCTAACAGAAAGAGGGAAAAGTAATCATTTTGAAATATGCCTGAGTATTTTATTCTCCTCAACAAAGATGTATTAGTCAGAATTATCCAGAGAAATAGAACCAATATGCAGAGAGAGAGAGAGAGAGAGAGAGAGAGAGAGAGAAGAGAAAATTTATCATAGGAATTGGCTCACATAATTATAGAGGCCAAAATGTTTCATAACATGCTGTCTGCCAGCTGGAGAACCAGGAAAGCCATTGGCGTAATTCAATCCCAATGGCCTGAGGAGCAAGAGTGACAGTGGTGTCATCCAATCTGAGGCCAAAGGCCTGAGAACTGGGGGTAGGGTTGTACTAGCTTAAGTCTTAGAGTCTGCAGGCTGAGGAATCAGCACCTCTCATGTCTAAGGGAAGAAGGTGGATGTCACAGGTCAAGAAAAGAGAAGATGAAATTTGCTCTGAGTTTTTGTTATATCTGGGCCTTCAACAGATGGCATAATGCCTGCCCACACTGGTGAAGGTGGACCATTTTTACTTAGTCTCCTGATTCAATGCTAATCATTTTGAGAAACACAGAGAAAAAATGTTTTATCAGCTTTTGGGCATCCCTTTGTCCAGTCAAGTTGACACCTACACTTAACCATCACCAGACCATCCCTTTTGAACTTGCTACTCATATGCATCTCCTTAAACGATAATCTACAAATAAAGACAAGGAGAAGCTAATGATTCTGCCTAATATGATATAACTAACCTGTATACAACTGAAAATACACTACTACCGTCTTCAGAAAAAGTAGTCTTTAAGTGATGTTCAGTCTTCACCTGATTCCCTGTAACTTAATATGATGTAAAACTAAAACTTCTTAAAAACAGATTTAAAATAATGCATCTTATGTTACATGATAAGGAAATAAGAGAAGAAAGAAAACAAAGATAGATAATTAATACATGTATATAAATACACATGTATTTATAACATAAGAAGGAAATACTCATGACAGTTACAGTTTTCTGTTCTGTAACTGGTCATGTCATCATAGCTAGTATTTATCATTACCTTCTCCCACTCATTCTGTGTACATTTGCCTTCAGGAAGATCCTTAGCTGATTATAGTTCTTTCTTTAACTGGTGTGGTAATCACAACTTTTATTCCTGAAAGGTCTGGACCTTTATTTGTCTTCCCTGGATTGGGTTGTTAGAGCTCGCCATTGACATTAATCACAAGGCATGGTAATATTAAGACAAGACCTAAATGAGCTCTTGTATTCCGGACATACTCTTATTTACTTCCATTGTAGAGTGGTAGTCTAATTTTCCACTGGTAGTCCGTATCAATCATCTCTGCCAATTCTGTAACTCTTTTCTTGAACTATTTACTCTAAGACATAAGGAGCCCAAATTAGCTAGGTGGCAGTCTTAACTTTTTATAGTTCAATAAAATTATTGTTATACTCTAGGCCAGCAGAGTATAAAGCCCTGGGATCAGGAAGAAACATTTTGCTAGTGTGTCACACGGGATAATAGTGAGTGGTGCCACTCCCATTTTTATCCCTTAATTCCTGGACCTATTAATCCTAGCTATAGGAGGAACAGTACTATATGTTGGATGCTGATTCAAAGCACATATGGCAATCTGGAAAACCCTGCCCCACTCCTATAAGGTATTTTCACCTACCTGGTGCTGTAACAGAGTCTTCAAAAGGCAATTCCACATTCTATCAAGGCAGCTGCTTTAGGATAGTGTGGAACATGGTAAGACCAGTGAATTCCATAAGTATCAGCCCATTGCCACACTTTTTTAGCTGTGAAGTGATTTCCTTGTTTAAAAGCAACACAGTGTATAATACTATGACAGTGGATAAGGCATACTGTAAGTCCATGGATGATAGTTTTAACAGAAGCATTTCATGCAGGAAAGGTAAGAGTCAGTGTCTATTCTAATAAGGATAAAACAATGTCTCTCTTATGATAGAAGTGATATAATGTAACCAACTTGCCAACAAGTAGCTGGATGATCACCCTGGAAAGTGGTGCCATACTGGGGACAGAGTGTTGCTCTCTGCTACTCACATATTGGGCACTCAGTGGTGGCTATAGCCCAGTCGGCCTTGCGAGGTGAAAGTCCACATTGCTGAGCACATTCATAACTTCTACCCCTATTACTATGGCCACGTTATTCATGAGTCCATTATGCAATGACAGAAGTGGCTGGAGATATAGGATGACTGGATTCCGCAGAAAAGATAATTCTATCCACTTAACTATTAAAATCCTCCTCTGATGTGGCCACTCTTTTTTGAGCATTCACATAGGACACAAATATCTTCACTTTTTTTTCCCATTCAGAGTGGTCTATCCACATCCTTCATCCCAAAATTTCTTTGTTACCAATTGGCAAATCATGCGCTTTCAAATCTCTGACCATCCAACCAAATCATTGATGACAGCCCAGAAGTTGGTATATAATTGCTCATCTAGTCTTTTCTCTTTCCAAGCAAAGCACATAACCAGGTTCAGTGCCCAAAATTATTTATATTGGAAGGACTTACCTTCATCACTATCTATCAGGGACGTCCTAGAGAGAGGCTGCGGTGCTTCAGCTGCCCACTCTCAGGTAGTGCCTTGAGTTTGGTGCAGAACCATTTATAAATCAAGCTCAATTTTTCTCTTACTCTGTCAATTGATCATAGAAAATTCCCATGAGGCCATAGGTGCAGGCTGGGAGAGAGATGACAGTGTAGTAGGAGTGGAAGCCATGGGCATTTGAACAGTTTTTTTGTTTTAATTGGGGAAATGTAGCCTCTGAGGAAATCCGAAAGTATACATTCCCTTTATTTTGTCAATTTTGTTTTAGGCCACTTCATGTAACATACTTGGGCCTGCTTGGGCCTAAGTATGCATATGCCACTTCTACTTGATGATGTAGTGCTTTTGTACATGCCAGATTTTATGGCTGGATTGATCATGTGATGCCAAGTTCAAGATAAGTAGCTCAGTTCACATGGTAACTTGGTGACCTATGTTCAAGCATTTAGTTCTATAAAGGCCCCATAGTAGGCCAAGGGCTGTATCTCAGAGGGAGAATAGATATCCTCATATAATGACAGGGCTAGTCTCTAAGATCCTGAAGACCTGCTCTGTTGTTCACCTATAGGGGCTTGCTAGAGCCTCCAAAGAACATCCCTATCTGCCACTGAAACTTCAAGCACCTTGAGATCTGCTGGATCATATGGCCCATGTGGCAGAGCAGCTTGCACAGCAGCCTGCCTCTTGCAGAGGTTTTTCTTATTTTGAGGACCATTTAAAACTAGCATATTTTTAGGTCACTCTTTGTAACATACCCAAATGTGAAATATGCTGCCTCCAAAATCTAACTATATTCACTAGATATTGTGCCCCTTTTTTGGATGTAGGAGGAGCCAGATGCAACAATTTATCCTTCATCTTGGATGAAATATTACATGTCCCACATCACTTGTTCCCTAGAAATTTCACTGAGGTAGAAGATCCTTTAATTTAGTTATATTTATTTCCCACCCTCTCATGGGCAAATGTCTTACCAGTAAGTCTAGAGTATATATATTTATATATTTATATAGGTATATATTAATATATGCATATATTATTTATATACATATTATTTATATATTATACATTATATTATATATGTTTATACTATATACATACTCAGGATTGTATGTGTGTATATATATACATTATATATTACATGTATTCTCATAATATATATGTGGGAACAAGTGCTGTCAATCTGAATAAACTTAGATATTAATGATGTACTTGGTTTATGATGTGGCTGCATTAGACTCATAGCCATATAAACCAAAAAAATTGTAAAAACTGATGGTATATTTGATTTGAAGACCTCCAGATTCAAGATGCATAATTATTATTGTTTCGTAAGGTACCTTTAGAAAGTTGATAAGACTGATGGAAGATTAACTTCCTAGCTATCACACAGATAAAAATTCAATGTTGCCCACATTTATTTTGGTATAACCTTTGGAAATGGTCTGTAGTCCTCTTTGCACTCATATTCATGTACTTAAATTTTAAATTCAATTGTATTTTCACTTTATTATAAAATATAAATATAATATTTGTGAACATAAAATTTGCAATTAAGGTACAGATTACTATAAATTCCACTAAGACTTTTGTTCATGGAAGCAGCACTTGCTCTTATAAGTATTAGAATGTAATAAATTTAAGAAGTTCTGAGCCCAAAAAAACTGAAAGCATTACAATTAAAGAGAACATTTGCCATTTACTTGAAGTTAATATTTTTCACTTTACACTTTATTGCACACTATCTTTCCTTCTTATCTATTAAACATGTTGTGAGCCATTAAGAAAGTGCTAATTTTTTGTCAGTGGGGAATAACGTAAGATGAATTTTCACATTTATTGGACTGCTTCTTAGCCTATGTGGTCATTTATTCTTAAGAGTGTTTTGAATAGTACCAACTAGCAATAATGACTGTAAACTAATACAGTTTCTAATGGCAGATTGCATTAGGAGAGTGTCCAAATTATGTAGCTCCAGGAGTGCTATATTTCTTGCTGTATTTTATTATCCATTTTGTCTTGAAAAAAGGTTACATAGCTTAAGCTCAATATTAAATCTCTGCTTTTTGCCTCTTTTAAAAACTATCACAGAATATAGCAAAAAGGTCTTTAGGGAAGACACAGCATTAGAATTTTAACTTAGCCATGTTGTAAATTATGGCACATGATTTGTTACACAAATTACACATAATTTAGCTAATTACTAAACAACCCTCATTTTCTTATTGCCAATATGTAATATTTATATATTTATATAAACCAATGTAAAGTCAGAAAATCAATAAATATTATATTATGGAAAATAATTAAAATTAGAATAGATCTTGGTCATAAATAAATTTGTTCAAGCTTATGAACTTATTTACATCTAAAAAACCTCAACCCAAAATGTATTTTTCCAATATCTCATGCTTTGGATATTTGAAGAAGCCATTGAATAGCTTTTCAAGTATATAGATAATAAGTCAAAATTATTTCAGATTATGTTAGGTAGTTCTAGTTAGTGATATGTATGTATTATATAATTAATGTAAAAGTTATTTTTATATAATGTACACAATTATAAGTTTTCCTTGAGCTCTTAATGTGTGCTAAACCCTCTTACACACATTTGCATACATTATATCATTTAACCTGCAGAAAAACCATAAAGATGGACATCATTATTGTTTACATTTTATAAATGAAGAAACTGAACAAGAAATTTGATAACTGTTCAAGAGTATTCTGTGACTGACCTAGGATGTAAATCCACACTTCTCTATGGGTGTCACTTTATTCTGTCATTCAGTCTACATCTGAATCCTGACTATGTGTCTAATGCTAAGACTGCAGCTGAGAATAAGTCAAAGAAAGTACCTGCATTTAAACAATTCTAGTGGAGAAAAAATAAACATGCAAATACATTAGTAAAATGATTTTGGTAACTATGAAGAAAATAGAATAAGGTGATATGGCAGAGATGAACTGGCTGTGGAGCATGGCCACTGCCCTAGTAAAGGTCATTTTAGAGAAAATGTTTCTAAAGAGTTGACATATGACTTGAGCCTTGAATGATGAGAAGGGATCAACCATGTAAATTTTGAAGGGAAAACCTAAGTAATTGGATTAGAAAAGTGTAAAGCCTTGTAATAGGTACTTAAAGGAACCCATTTTGTCTGGAGCTTAGGGAAGCAGGAAAAAAAGAAAGTAGATGATATAGAAGATGTAGGTAGGGGCAAAGTCATGTAGTAATATGTAGGCCATGGTATGGATATTGATTTTTATTCTGAATACAATGAGAATCCATTGTAAACTCTTGAGTAGTAGTATCTGATTTAAGTTTTATAAAGTTTATAAAACCGTGATATGGAGAGCTCCTCTAGGGTTGCAAGAGTGGGTGGAGGGAAATACATTGATTCACTGTGATAGAAAATATTTGGATAGACAGATTTGGGAGTAAAATTATAGTTCTGTTATAGCATTGTTGACTTTGATATGCTCATTAGACAAGTGAGTGGAGAATTTAGGAAAGTAGTTGGATATAAAATCCAGACTACAGAAAAAGTTCAGCAAATTGTGTTCGGAGTTGTAGGACTGGATGAGATCACCCAGAAAAAATTCATAAATAGAAGAATCGTAAAGGGAGCAGAGACTTGAATCATCTCAAGGAATTTGTTAACCTACCAAAGAATAAACTTTTTCTAAATTGGACAAAGTCATCCCTTCTAGACATGTGCCTTTTCTGGTAATCAAAAATCAAATAGAAACAAAAATATGTTATCTCTTTAGAAAGGTGCAGTCTTGAGAACATAGGGTTTGTCTAGAAGAATTCCATTCCTACCAGCAGAAGTAGCTGAAGGAAAATCTGGATTCAAGGTGTCAGTAATGGTAGTAGTCATAGTAGCAGTAATAAATGTGTGTGTGTGTGTGTGTGTGTGTGTGTTTTCAAAATACAAAAAAGGGATGTGAAGATATGGATACATGCTGATTGAATTGACTCAGTAGAGACAGAAGTTGAAAACACAGAAGTCAAACAGAGATATAATAAAAAAAAAAGGTCATGGAGAAGATATGAATGTGTGAAATTAAGGGAAAAGTGGAAGAGCTATTTTATATAGTCGCGCAAACACTTGGTCTGTTTTTTTCATATACAACAAGCTTATTTTGAAAGAAGGCAGATATAAAATAAGACTGTGGTATCTAGAGGCATTGTTTCATACCAGAAAAAGTTACCCATTATTCTTACTGTCCCTAAACACATATTAAATGTTTCTTCAGTTCTCTCATGTGAGAATAAAGTGTGTGTGTGTATATATATATATACACATATAAAATATTACATATGTAGGTATACATACATATTACAGGTGTTCTATTCAGACACTTAAAGCTTTAATCCCTTCCTTCTTCAGTATATTTCAAATTTTTTTTAATTTCAGTTTTTATTTTAGATACAAGGGATACATGTGTAGAATTGTTATACGATATATTGGACCCAGGTAGTAAGCATAGCACCAAATAAGTAGTTTTCCAAAGCTCATCCCCCAGCCACCCTCTCTTCCCAGTAGTTTGCAGTGTCTATTGTTGCCATGTTAATGTCCACGTGTGGTCTAAGTTTAGCTCCAACTTATATGTGAGAACATGTGGTATTTGCTTTTCTGTTCCTACGTTAATTTGCTTAGGATTATGGTCTACAGCTCTAGCCATTCTTCTTTATGACTGTGCATATTCTGTGGTGTGTATATACCATGTTTTCTTTATCCAGTTCACCATTGATGGGCAACTAGGTTGACTCTACATCTTTGCTATTGTGAATATCACAGTGAAGAACCTACAAGTGCATGTGTCTTGTTGGTATAATAATCTATATACCTTTGAGTATATACCCAGCAATGAGATTGATGGGTTGAGTGGTAGTTTTGTTTTAAGTTCTCTGAGACATCTCCAAACTGCTTTCCACAGTGACTGAACTAATCTATGTTCCCATCAACAGTGTGTAAATGTTCCCTTTTCTCTGCAGCCTTACCAACATCTTTTTTTTTAACCTTTTGATAATGGTCATAATGACTGACGTGAGATGGTATATGATTGCAGTTTCAGATTTGCATTTCTCTGATGATTAGTGATGATGAGCATTTTTTCAAATATTTGCTGGCCACTTATATGACTTCCTTTGAGAAGTATCCAGGTCTTTTGCCTACTTTTTAATGGGGTTGCTTGGTTTTTGCTTGTTGATTTGTTTAAGTTCCTTATAGATTCTGGATATTAGACCTTTGTCAGATGCATAGTTTGCAAACATTTCCTACCATTCCGTAGGTTGTCTGTTTTCTCTGTTGTTAGTTTTTGTTTTGTTTTGTTTTTTGCTGTGCAAAAGCTCTTTAGTTTAATTAGTCATGTTTTATTAGTCATTTTAATTAGTCATTTGTCAATTTTTGTTTTTGTTTTAATTGGTTTTGTGGACATGACCATAAATTATTTACCAAAAAGGGTGTATCCTAAATTTTCTTCTAGGACTTTTATAGTTAAAGGTCTTACATTTATATCTTTAATCTATCTTGAGTTAATTTTTGTATATGATGAAAAAAAGGGTCTAATTTCATTCTTCTGCATATGATTATCCATCACCATTTAATTAATGGAGAGTTATCTTCCCCATTGCTTGTTTTTGTCAGCTTTGTTAAAAATTAGATGGTTGTAGGTGTGCAGCTTTATTTCTGAGTTACATAATTTGTTCCATTGATCTATGTGTCTGCTTTTGTACCAGTACCATGCTGTTTTGGTAACTGTAGCATTGTAATGTAGTTTGAAGTCAGGTAGAGTGAAGCCTCTAGCTTTGTGTTATTTGCTTAGGATTGCTTTGGCTATACAGGCTATTTTTGGTTCCACATGAGTTTTATATATTTTTTTCTATCTGTGAAGAATGATGTTGATAGTTCAATAAGAATAGCGTTGAATCTGTAAATTGCTTTGGACAGTATGGCCATTTTAATATTGATTCTTCCAATCCATGAGCATGAAATGACTTTCCATTTATTTGTGTTGCCTCTAATTTCTTTCAGCGGTGTGTTGTAGTTCTTTTTGTAAAGATCTTTCACCTCTTTAGTGAGCTGTATTCTATTTCTAAGTATTTCATTTTATTTGTGACTATTGTAAATGATATTATGTTCTTGACCTGACTCTTGACCTGGATGTTGTTGGTGTGTGGAAATGCTGCTAATTTTTTGTATATTGATTTTATATCCTGAAACATTGCTGAAGTCATTTATCAGTTCTAGTTGCCTTTTGGTGGAGTCTTTAGGGTTTTCCAAGTATAGAATATCATCAGTGAAAAGAGATAGTTTGACTTCTTTTTTTCCTATTTGGTTGTGTTTTTTTTTTTTTTTCTTTTCTGATTGCCCTGGCTAAGACTTCCAGTACTATTTTGAATAGGAGTGGTGAGAGTGGGCATCCTCACCTTATTTCAGTTCCCAAGAGGAATGATTCCAGCTATTATCTATTCAGTATAATGTTGACTGTAAGTTTGACATAAATGGTTCATTATTGTCAGATATGTTCTTGCAATGCCTAGTCTGTTGAGGGTTTTTATCATGAAAAGTTTTTGGATTTTATATAAAGCTTTTTTGCATCTATTGAGATGGCCATATGTTTTATGCTTTTGTCTTTATGTGGTAAATTGCATTTTGATTTGTGAATATTGAAAAAATCATGCATCCTAGGAATAAAGCCTGCTTGGTCATGGTGAGTTAACTTTCTTATGTTCTGCTGATTTGATTTGTTAGTATTTTGTTGAGGATTTTTCCATCTATGTTCATCAGGGATATTTGCTTGAAGTTTCCTTTATTAGTCTTATCTCAGCCAGATTTTCGTATTAGGCTGATGCTGGATTTATATAATGAGTTAAGGAGGAGTCCCTCCTCCTTTATTTTTTTAAATGATTGGTACTAGTTCTTCTATCTATGCCTGGTAGAATTTGACTGTGAATCCATGTGGTCCAGGGCTTTTTTGGGTTTATAGATTGTTTTTATCACAAGTTCAGTGTCAGAACTCTATACTGAACCCTATTCAGAGTTTCAATCGCATCCTGATTTGATCTTTGGAGATTGTATGTTTCCAGGACCTTTTCCATTTCCTCTAGATTTTCTAATTTGTATGCAAGGAGTTGTTTATAGTGTTATCTGAAGATCATTTTTATATTTCTGGTATGAGTTGTAATGTCATCTTTGTCATTTCTGAATGTACTTATTTGAATCTTCTCTCCTTTTCTTCTTTGTTTATCTAACAGTCTATCAATCTTACATTGTTTTTTGGAGAACCAACTCTTGGTTTAATTATATTTTGAATGGATTTTTGAATTTCAATTTCATTAGCTTATTTTCTAATTTTGGTTATTTCTTTCCTTCTGGAGCTTTGGGTTATTTTTTTTTTAATAGTTTCTTTAGGTGCAGAGTTATATTGTTAATTTGAGATCTTTTTAAGTTCTTGATGAAGGTATTGTAAACTTTGCCTTGATGAAGGGCTATAAATTTTTCTCTTAACACTGCTTCAGCTACACTCTAGAAATTTTGGTATGTTGTGTCCCTGTTTTCATTAATTTAAAGTAATTTTTAAATTTCTGCCTTAATTTTGATGTTCACCTGGAAGTTATTCAGGAGCACGTTGTTTAATTTCCACTTATTTGTGCCATTTTAAGGTATATTTTTGATATTTATTTATATTGTCTTCGCACTGTGGTCCAAGAATGTGCTTGGTATAATTTTGATTTTTAAAACATGTATTGAGTCTTGCTTTATGAAGAAGCACTTAGGTAATCCTAGAATACTTCTGTGTGCAGATGAGAAGAATGTACATTCTGTGGTTGTTGGGTGGAGTGTTCTGTAGATGTCTATTAGGTCCTATTGGTCAAGTATTAAGTCCAGAGCTTCTTTGTTAGTTTTCTGCCTCAATGATCTGTTTAATACTGTAAGTAGGATGTTCAAGTCTCCCATTATTGTGTGGTTATCTAGGTCTTTTGTTAGGCCTAAAGGAACTTATTTTATGAATCTTGGTGCTCCAAAGTTGGGTACATATATATTTATGAAAGTTAAGGTTTTTTGTTGGAGTCTACCCTTTATCATTATGTAATGCCCCTCCTTATTGTGAATTTTTATTGATTGATATGATTTGGGTTTGTGTACCTGCCCATATCTCATGTTGAATTGTAATCCCCAGTGGTGGAGGTGGGGCCTGGTGGGAGGTGGTTGAATTATGGTGGCAGTTTCTCATGAATGGTTTGGCAACATCACACTAGTACTATTCTCCTGATAGAGTTCTTACAAGATCTGGTTGTTTATAAGTGTGTAGCGCCTCCCTCTCTCTCTTTCTCTTGCTGCTCGGGTCATGTGAGATGCCAGCTCCGTCTTTGCCTTCTGCCATGATTGAAGTTTCCCGAGGCCTCCCCAGAAGCTGAGCTGATGCTGGAATTATTCTTCCTGTACAGACCGTGGAACCATGAGCCAATTAAACCCTCTTTTCTTTATAAATTACCCAGTCTCAGATATTTCTTCATAGCAATGCAAGAATGGACTAATACATTGGTTTAAAGTCTGCTTTATCTGATGTAAGAATAACAACTCCTCCTCTTTTTCATCTTTCATTTCCATGGTAGATCTTTTTCATTCTTTTTACTTTGAGTCTGTGGGTGTCATTACATGTGGGATGGGTTTCTTTAAAACCACAAACAGTTGGATTTTGCTTCTTCATCCAGTCTGCCACTCTGTATTTTAAGCGGACATTTATCTCATTTACATTCAGGATTACTACTGATATGTGTGATTTTGATTCTGTCATTATGTTGTTTGCTGATTGTTGTGTATACTTGATTGTGTAGTTGCTTTATAGCACCTGTGTGCTATGGGCTTGAGTGTGATTTTGTGGTAGCAGGTGTCATTCTTTTGAATCCATGTTCAGCGCTCTCTTAAGGACAACTTGTAGGCCTTGTCTAGTTGAAATGTACTTTCTCTCAGTATTTGCTTGTCTGAGATGGGTTTTATTTCTCCATCACGTATGAAGCACATTTTGATAGAATATGAAATTTTTGGTTGGAATGTTTAAAAAAATGCTGAAAATAGGTCTCCCATCTCTTCTGCTGAGAGATTTGCTGCATGCCTGATTGGGTTCCCTCTGTACTTCACTTGGTCCTCTCTATCTCTAGCTACCTTTAAGATTTTTTTTCTTTTGCATTGACATTGGTGAATATGATGACTATGTGCCTTGGGTACAGTTATGTCATGTAGTTTCTATCTGAGGTTCTCTGTATTTCTTGGATTTACATGTCAACCTCTCTACGCATATTAGGAAAATTATCATGGATTGTATCCTTAAATATATTTTCCAAGTTGCTTATCCTCTGTCCTTGCCTCTCAAAAATGTTGATGTGTCATAGATTTGGTTTGTTTACATAATGACATGTTTCTTGGATATTTTGTTTATTTTTCTCAATTCATTTTTAAATTTTTTGTCTGAATGAGTTAATTTGAAGAATTGGTCTTTGAGCTCTGAGATTCTTTCCTCTACTTGGTCTAGTCTGCTGTTAGTACTTCCAATTGTGTTATGACATTTTTATAGGGAGTTTATCAGGTCTAGAAGTTCAATTAGGTTCTTTCTTACATGGCTATTTCATCTTTTAGGTTTTGGATGATTTTACTGGATTCTTTGGATTTCCTGGATGGAATTTCAAGTTTCTTCTGAATCTTGATGAGTTTCCTTGACATCTAGGTTCTGAATTGTATATCTGTCATTTCAGACATTTCACACTGGTTAAAAAACATTTCTGGGAACTAGTGAACTTGTTTGGAGGTAAAGGAACATTGGCTTTTTGAATTGCCAGATTTCTTGCACTAATTATTTCTCATCTGAGAGGGTTGTTGTTCTTTTAACTGTGGTGTGACTTAAGTATAGTCAGTTGGCTTCATTCCTAAATGCTTTCAGAGGGCTATAAATCTGTACCTGTGGGTGAATTATGGTGCTCGGTTTCACAGTTGCGTACGTTAGTAGGATACATTTTTGTTGTTGTCGTTTGGGCTGTGACCCAGTAGATGGCGCTTAAGAGTAATGGCCAGTACCTAGGTTAATACTCAACTGTGTAGGTTTTTTGTACATGCTTGAATTCACAGGCAAGCTCTGCGGTGAGTTTGAGGGAAGAAGTGGCCCCCTCACGCGGTTCACTCCTGGGCCTTAAAAGAGCATCTTCGATTGCTAGCACTGCATCTGCATTACTTTGTTAGGTGTACTAGGCCACGGGGCCCCCTCCGACAGAGGCTGTGGCAGAGAGATATGCCACACACTCTGTGGACCAGCTCTGCGGAAAGAGGCATGCCCTGCTCCCACTCCAGGTCAGGAACCTGCATGTCTCATCCCTCTCAGTGCTCTGAGGGCGAAGGCTCCTCTCCCATTTGAGGGTCGGCCACAGGTCTTGACTCCACACTCGTGTGCTGAAGTCCAGAATGTCCGTGGCTCAGGTTGAGGTTTTGGCTACCCTGGGAGATCCGATATGCTCCTGGGTCACCTGGAAATTACTCAGGTTCAGCAATGCACTTAGGTTGCGCTGTGGTGGCTGCACTGTGCATCCAATCCTGCAGGATGGCTTGGCATAGACTCAGAAGGACTGGCAGGCAGGAGGGCTTGCAGAGCAGATATGCTCCAGTCCCATGCGGAAGTTGGCTCTGCACTTTCCTGACTCAGAGGTCAGCTGGGGCCCGTGCCTCCCTGAGGGTGATGGGGAGCCCTGGAGATGGGCATGTATGGCTTCGCTCCACTGGAGCTTCCCAGGATTGAAGCTCCTGGGCTCTGTGCTGTTTTCTAAAAGTCCTGTCTTTTCTCACTGCCTGGGGAGATCCCCCTGCCAGGTTGCAGGTTCATGGGAAATGCAGGGTCTCCTACAGCTGAGATACCAGAGAACCACAATAAGAATGAGTTGTCCCTAAGTTCCCTCCCTCATCTCTTTCCCAAAAGCCATTCAAGACTAGAAACTAGCTCTGGCATTCAGGTTCCCTGTGCAAGTTTCCCAGTTTTTTCTCTCTTCAGCCTCATCATCAGCATTGGCTCTCCATCCACTCTCAGCAAATTATCCTGGTTTGTTGGATAATTTGAGCTCTCTCAATGGAAGTGGTGCTTCCTGGCAGCATCTAGTCAGCCAACTTGTCCTCTTTCTCATTCTCTACTGTTTTAAAAGGGAAAGCACTGTGTATGTGTATATAATGGTAGAATGTATGATACGAATGTCAAAGTCATTATATCCTAATTGCATGTTTTTCCATGAAGTATATGTCTAGGTCATTAGCTGAGGTAGGTGATTCTGACTAAGACTTTGAGAAGAAAAAATAAGGGTTAAAATACCTGTCTTTGAGAAAAGGAAATGAAATTTTTAGAGAAGTGTAGTAAAAATTTTGTCAGTGTTGATTATTCACTTGATAAACTATGTCATAACTTTTCAGCAAATCCAATCAACATGGTTTTGTGAGTTTTCTCCAACATCATCCAGATATTTTGTACACCATGGAGTTAACAGTAAACTATATTGATCTAAAAAGGTTGAAACCCAATAGCCAAAGATAGAACCATGAGATTGTGTAGCTGAATTGAGGTGGATGATAAAAACATTAGTCATGAGACAAAAGAAGCTAGCCTGATGAAGAATCAGAAGCTAGCATCTTGAGTTTCTTGTCTATATGGATAAAGAAGTTTTTAGGAATGATGATGAAGTGAGCTACCGTAAAATAAGTATTAAATTAAATATTGTATGAATTAAATATTGTGTCTAGGTTGATACATGTCAGCGACATGGAGCACTTGCAAGTAGTAAAATCCGATGATATATTTGAAAGGAACTTGTTTTTGTATAAAAGGAAGACAGTCTGGAAGTGGTGGGAAGTAAGGAAGCCGCTTATCTATCACCAGGCTCTGGCATGATGCAGATGGGGAGGATGCTGTGCTTGAGAGAGCTTTAGAAAAAGCTGTATCTTTTTGAGTGAAATAAAGTGAAAGGCGTATTCAAGGTACAGTTGGAATATGTAGAAATGTTTGCTGTTGATCACTTTTGAGCTCCAGAAAGACAACTACAACATTTAGTAAAGGTGGTGAAGTGTGTGCTTGTGTGTGTGTGTGTGTGTTTGTGTGTATGTGTGTCTGTGTGCTATAGTGGGGAAAGCGAATGAGGTCAGATTTGAGGATTTATAGACAACTATGGGACTGAGTGTTTATAGAAGGATGTATTGCTCAGTGATGCGCGGTGACACTAGACTTGAAAGTAGGAACAAGCAGAATATGAATATGTTTCGGTGGCAGCTGGAAACACTGGAAGTTTGACTTATTTTCTATTCTAAGTTTCACTGCCTACAGATAGGCTAAGGATGTATAAGGATGTATCTTTTGATCCATTAAAGCTGATCCATGGAGCAAAAATTCTGGATATAATGCTTCAGTGAAGAATCTGCATTTTGAAACACTCCTCAGGTGATACAGATGTTCAGTAACGTTTGAGAGAGACTGGTTTAGTAAAAATTTATAGAAGACTTACCACAATAATTATTTATATTTATATATTTATATATATGTGTGTATATATATATATTTATATATATGTGTGTATATATATATATTTATATATATGTGTGTATATATATATATACATTTATATACTATTTGAAAATAGAATGTGAATCATATATAAATAACCTTCTTATAATGATTGAGGGTACTTAAAGCAATAAACTCTTGAGCATTTTATGCATTAGTTTTATAATTATTTTTATTTAATTAATGTGCATACTCCTTGAAGAAAAGAATTGCTAAGCAAAGGTAAACTAGGAATTACCTTCTATTCAATTATCATGAATGTTTAATTAAAAGAGTTTAAATTAATTGTGTTACATTATTTACTTGTGTATGTAATTAATCTACATTTAGAATTTATTATTAAATGTTTGGGAAAGCAGTATCAAAATTCTTGAATGTATATGATTTTGAAAAAGTCTTGTATAATTGCTCCTATTTGAAATATTATTACAATGCAAAAGTTTGTTATTTATAGCTATAATTTAATTCTAATGCTTATCTGCCAATACCTCTATGTTGGTGATACAATAACTAACATGTATTACAGGCTTAGTAGATTCCAGGTGTCAATGTATGTACTAATAAACCTATTCATCACAACCACCTTATGAGTCAGTTACTAGTTTTTGTCTGTTTTAAGCTCTCAGAGAAACTGAAGTATATGTTTGTTAAATAATTTGATCAAGGTCTCCCATTTAGTAAGTGGCAGGGCAGAGACCCCAAAATAAGTAGTTAGATTCCAAGCCTGAACTGTTAATTACTGTATTCTATAGCTTCCTAAAACTACTGCTCAAAGGGCAGTGGTAGACAATTTGTGATGAATAGATCTTTAAAATTTAGGTGGTTCAATATTTTATGTTGGTTTATTTAGGTGGTTCAATATTCAGAGGAAAATGTAATTATGACTTACCCATTGAAAAGCTATAAAAATTCCATGCAATACCTATTTTCTTGCAGCAAAAAGCAGGACATAATAGTGAAATAAACAGAGTCCGTGAAAGTGTAATTTTAATCTTCGGCCACTCACCAAAATTGACACACAACAATTTAAAAAAAAAATGTGACATCCTTGCATTTCTAACTTAAATTGGTGTTTTCCAAATTTCCCACGTGGATATCTTGATACAATACATATTCCTAAGAACATCCACTGGGGTTTCTGGTTCATTCGGTCCAAACTTGTAAGTAAGAAATATTTATTTTAAACAAACACCCTACTTGATTTTTATGATCTGGGAAGCAATGGCCTGAACTCTAGATTAAATTGTTTTGGAGTTGTAAAGTATGATCTAAGAATATACAAGCACATCTCTTTGTTAAACCAAAACGACATTTGATTAAAAAGATTTTTGAAAATTGAAGCATGATTTTAAATTCTGAGACAGCAATGATTTATCTTGCTGCTGATTTTTTTCTAGAAAAGTACACTTTTGTTATAGCCATTACCCCTTCACCCTTGCCTTCTTATTTATTTGTATTTTTTAATTTAATATAAAATTTTGTTGACACTACTTCTACACTTCAATTCAGAAGAGTTATATTTCACAATACCTTAGAACAAGGATTCAGCTTAGGATCAGACAAGTACACATCATGTAAAAATTGTAATATTATTGTGAATCAGCGTCATTCTCTGTATCTCCAACTTCACACATAGTATCAGAACATGGAAGCAAAATGCTGAATAGAAAAAAATAGAAAATTAATATTAATATGGGAATCTAGGAAAGGACTAAATTTGTTGCTTGAGATTTAAAATACTGTAGAATTCTGGTTTTGTGCTCACATATTTGTTTGCAACTTTATTTGTCGTTCATTTCTTGAAGAAGGAAGGTAATTTTTTAAATGAGGTATTTTCCAAAGTCGTCTTCAGTGTGACTACTGTGGGCATCTTTTAGCCCCCTCAATGGTAGAAAACAGAGAATTACTGAACAAAAAGTAACCCACAAAGCTGATTTCCCTGCTATGATAATTCATAGTAATCCACTGAGTGATTGAAACTGTATATTCTGCTTGCTGAAATTAATGTGTTTTGTTTGTTTGTTTGTTTGATTTTAAGACAGGGTTTCATTCTATTGCTCAGGCTGGAGTACAGTGGTATGGTCATAACTCACTGTAACCTTGAACTTCTGGGCTCAAGCAATCCTCCCACATCAACTTCCCAAGTAGCAAGGACTACTGTTGCATATTACCACACCCAACTAAATTCTTTTTCATTTTCTGTAGAGATGAGGTCTCACAATGTTGCCCAGGATGATCTCAAACTCCTGGCCTCAAGCAACCCCCCAACTTCCACCTCCCAAAGAGGTGGGATTACAGGCATGAGTCATGTTTTAACATCTAGAAGAGGATTGTCAGGAATAAATTCAGAATACCCATATTACCTATTTCCAGTACCAATCTCTGAATTTTTTTTAGTTAATAAGCACTTTCTCTTCTTCTGTTTCATATCCTTGGAATTTGTTTAATTTATGCTTTCTTTCTAATTTCCCAACCCTAGATTTTCTCTATCCTGCAAAGTCATCAAGACTCTTACTTTGCTAGTTCTAAATTGTGGTAGAACATAGAATAATGGAAGTAAAACCATGTGTTTTCAATTGTAGCACACATACATTGATGGCCTATTTGTGTAAAAATATGGAAAGTGGTGCCATACTGGGGACAGAGTGTTGCTCTCTGCTACTCACATATTGGGCACTCAGTGGTGGCTATAGCCCAGTCGGCCTTGCGAGGTGAAAGTCCACATTGCTGAGCACATTCATAACTTCTACCCCTATTACTATGGCCACGTTATTCATGAGTCCATTATGCAATGACAGAAGTGGCTGGAGATATAGGATGACTGGATTCCGCAGAAAAGATAATTCTATCCACTTAACTATTAAAATCCTCCTCTGATGTGGCCACTCTTTTTTGAGCATTCACATAGGACACAAATATCTTCACTTTTTTTTCCCATTCAGAGTGGTCTATCCACATCCTTCATCCCAAAATTTCTTTGTTACCAATTGGCAAATCATGCGCTTTCAAATCTCTGACCATCCAACCAAATCATTGATGACAGCCCAGAAGTTGGTATATAATTGCTCATCTAGTCTTTTCTCTTTCCAAGCAAAGCACATAACCAGGTTCAGTGCCCAAAATTATTTATATTGGAAGGACTTACCTTCATCACTATCTATCAGGGACGTCCTAGAGAGAGGCTGCGGTGCTTCAGCTGCCCACTCTCAGGTAGTGCCTTGAGTTTGGTGCAGAACCATTTATAAATCAAGCTCAATTTTTCTCTTACTCTGTCAATTGATCATAGAAAATTCCCATGAGGCCATAGGTGCAGGCTGGGAGAGAGATGACAGTGTAGTAGGAGTGGAAGCCATGGGCATTTGAACAGTTTTTTTGTTTTAATTGGGGAAATGTAGCCTCTGAGGAAATCCGAAAGTATACATTCCCTTTATTTTGTCAATTTTGTTTTAGGCCACTTCATGTAACATACTTGGGCCTGCTTGGGCCTAAGTATGCATATGCCACTTCTACTTGATGATGTAGTGCTTTTGTACATGCCAGATTTTATGGCTGGATTGATCATGTGATGCCAAGTTCAAGATAAGTAGCTCAGTTCACATGGTAACTTGGTGACCTATGTTCAAGCATTTAGTTCTATAAAGGCCCCATAGTAGGCCAAGGGCTGTATCTCAGAGGGAGAATAGATATCCTCATATAATGACAGGGCTAGTCTCTAAGATCCTGAAGACCTGCTCTGTTGTTCACCTATAGGGGCTTGCTAGAGCCTCCAAAGAACATCCCTATCTGCCACTGAAACTTCAAGCACCTTGAGATCTGCTGGATCATATGGCCCATGTGGCAGAGCAGCTTGCACAGCAGCCTGCCTCTTGCAGAGGTTTTTCTTATTTTGAGGACCATTTAAAACTAGCATATTTTTAGGTCACTCTTTGTAACATACCCAAATGTGAAATATGCTGCCTCCAAAATCTAACTATATTCACTAGATATTGTGCCCCTTTTTTGGATGTAGGAGGAGCCAGATGCAACAATTTATCCTTCATCTTGGATGAAATATTACATGTCCCACATCACTTGTTCCCTAGAAATTTCACTGAGGTAGAAGATCCTTTAATTTAGTTATATTTATTTCCCACCCTCTCATGGGCAAATGTCTTACCAGTAAGTCTAGAGTATATATATTTATATATTTATATAGGTATATATTAATATATGCATATATTATTTATATACATATTATTTATATATTATACATTATATTATATATGTTTATACTATATACATACTCAGGATTGTATGTGTGTATATATATACATTATATATTACATGTATTCTCATAATATATATGTGGGAACAAGTGCTGTCAATCTGAATAAACTTAGATATTAATGATGTACTTGGTTTATGATGTGGCTGCATTAGACTCATAGCCATATAAACCAAAAAAATTGTAAAAACTGATGGTATATTTGATTTGAAGACCTCCAGATTCAAGATGCATAATTATTATTGTTTCGTAAGGTACCTTTAGAAAGTTGATAAGACTGATGGAAGATTAACTTCCTAGCTATCACACAGATAAAAATTCAATGTTGCCCACATTTATTTTGGTATAACCTTTGGAAATGGTCTGTAGTCCTCTTTGCACTCATATTCATGTACTTAAATTTTAAATTCAATTGTATTTTCACTTTATTATAAAATATAAATATAATATTTGTGAACATAAAATTTGCAATTAAGGTACAGATTACTATAAATTCCACTAAGACTTTTGTTCATGGAAGCAGCACTTGCTCTTATAAGTATTAGAATGTAATAAATTTAAGAAGTTCTGAGCCCAAAAAAACTGAAAGCATTACAATTAAAGAGAACATTTGCCATTTACTTGAAGTTAATATTTTTCACTTTACACTTTATTGCACACTATCTTTCCTTCTTATCTATTAAACATGTTGTGAGCCATTAAGAAAGTGCTAATTTTTTGTCAGTGGGGAATAACGTAAGATGAATTTTCACATTTATTGGACTGCTTCTTAGCCTATGTGGTCATTTATTCTTAAGAGTGTTTTGAATAGTACCAACTAGCAATAATGACTGTAAACTAATACAGTTTCTAATGGCAGATTGCATTAGGAGAGTGTCCAAATTATGTAGCTCCAGGAGTGCTATATTTCTTGCTGTATTTTATTATCCATTTTGTCTTGAAAAAAGGTTACATAGCTTAAGCTCAATATTAAATCTCTGCTTTTTGCCTCTTTTAAAAACTATCACAGAATATAGCAAAAAGGTCTTTAGGGAAGACACAGCATTAGAATTTTAACTTAGCCATGTTGTAAATTATGGCACATGATTTGTTACACAAATTACACATAATTTAGCTAATTACTAAACAACCCTCATTTTCTTATTGCCAATATGTAATATTTATATATTTATATAAACCAATGTAAAGTCAGAAAATCAATAAATATTATATTATGGAAAATAATTAAAATTAGAATAGATCTTGGTCATAAATAAATTTGTTCAAGCTTATGAACTTATTTACATCTAAAAAACCTCAACCCAAAATGTATTTTTCCAATATCTCATGCTTTGGATATTTGAAGAAGCCATTGAATAGCTTTTCAAGTATATAGATAATAAGTCAAAATTATTTCAGATTATGTTAGGTAGTTCTAGTTAGTGATATGTATGTATTATATAATTAATGTAAAAGTTATTTTTATATAATGTACACAATTATAAGTTTTCCTTGAGCTCTTAATGTGTGCTAAACCCTCTTACACACATTTGCATACATTATATCATTTAACCTGCAGAAAAACCATAAAGATGGACATCATTATTGTTTACATTTTATAAATGAAGAAACTGAACAAGAAATTTGATAACTGTTCAAGAGTATTCTGTGACTGACCTAGGATGTAAATCCACACTTCTCTATGGGTGTCACTTTATTCTGTCATTCAGTCTACATCTGAATCCTGACTATGTGTCTAATGCTAAGACTGCAGCTGAGAATAAGTCAAAGAAAGTACCTGCATTTAAACAATTCTAGTGGAGAAAAAATAAACATGCAAATACATTAGTAAAATGATTTTGGTAACTATGAAGAAAATAGAATAAGGTGATATGGCAGAGATGAACTGGCTGTGGAGCATGGCCACTGCCCTAGTAAAGGTCATTTTAGAGAAAATGTTTCTAAAGAGTTGACATATGACTTGAGCCTTGAATGATGAGAAGGGATCAACCATGTAAATTTTGAAGGGAAAACCTAAGTAATTGGATTAGAAAAGTGTAAAGCCTTGTAATAGGTACTTAAAGGAACCCATTTTGTCTGGAGCTTAGGGAAGCAGGAAAAAAAGAAAGTAGATGATATAGAAGATGTAGGTAGGGGCAAAGTCATGTAGTAATATGTAGGCCATGGTATGGATATTGATTTTTATTCTGAATACAATGAGAATCCATTGTAAACTCTTGAGTAGTAGTATCTGATTTAAGTTTTATAAAGTTTATAAAACCGTGATATGGAGAGCTCCTCTAGGGTTGCAAGAGTGGGTGGAGGGAAATACATTGATTCACTGTGATAGAAAATATTTGGATAGACAGATTTGGGAGTAAAATTATAGTTCTGTTATAGCATTGTTGACTTTGATATGCTCATTAGACAAGTGAGTGGAGAATTTAGGAAAGTAGTTGGATATAAAATCCAGACTACAGAAAAAGTTCAGCAAATTGTGTTCGGAGTTGTAGGACTGGATGAGATCACCCAGAAAAAATTCATAAATAGAAGAATCGTAAAGGGAGCAGAGACTTGAATCATCTCAAGGAATTTGTTAACCTACCAAAGAATAAACTTTTTCTAAATTGGACAAAGTCATCCCTTCTAGACATGTGCCTTTTCTGGTAATCAAAAATCAAATAGAAACAAAAATATGTTATCTCTTTAGAAAGGTGCAGTCTTGAGAACATAGGGTTTGTCTAGAAGAATTCCATTCCTACCAGCAGAAGTAGCTGAAGGAAAATCTGGATTCAAGGTGTCAGTAATGGTAGTAGTCATAGTAGCAGTAATAAATGTGTGTGTGTGTGTGTGTGTGTGTGTGTTTTCAAAATACAAAAAAGGGATGTGAAGATATGGATACATGCTGATTGAATTGACTCAGTAGAGACAGAAGTTGAAAACACAGAAGTCAAACAGAGATATAATAAAAAAAAAAGGTCATGGAGAAGATATGAATGTGTGAAATTAAGGGAAAAGTGGAAGAGCTATTTTATATAGTCGCGCAAACACTTGGTCTGTTTTTTTCATATACAACAAGCTTATTTTGAAAGAAGGCAGATATAAAATAAGACTGTGGTATCTAGAGGCATTGTTTCATACCAGAAAAAGTTACCCATTATTCTTACTGTCCCTAAACACATATTAAATGTTTCTTCAGTTCTCTCATGTGAGAATAAAGTGTGTGTGTGTATATATATATATACACATATAAAATATTACATATGTAGGTATACATACATATTACAGGTGTTCTATTCAGACACTTAAAGCTTTAATCCCTTCCTTCTTCAGTATATTTCAAATTTTTTTTAATTTCAGTTTTTATTTTAGATACAAGGGATACATGTGTAGAATTGTTATACGATATATTGGACCCAGGTAGTAAGCATAGCACCAAATAAGTAGTTTTCCAAAGCTCATCCCCCAGCCACCCTCTCTTCCCAGTAGTTTGCAGTGTCTATTGTTGCCATGTTAATGTCCACGTGTGGTCTAAGTTTAGCTCCAACTTATATGTGAGAACATGTGGTATTTGCTTTTCTGTTCCTACGTTAATTTGCTTAGGATTATGGTCTACAGCTCTAGCCATTCTTCTTTATGACTGTGCATATTCTGTGGTGTGTATATACCATGTTTTCTTTATCCAGTTCACCATTGATGGGCAACTAGGTTGACTCTACATCTTTGCTATTGTGAATATCACAGTGAAGAACCTACAAGTGCATGTGTCTTGTTGGTATAATAATCTATATACCTTTGAGTATATACCCAGCAATGAGATTGATGGGTTGAGTGGTAGTTTTGTTTTAAGTTCTCTGAGACATCTCCAAACTGCTTTCCACAGTGACTGAACTAATCTATGTTCCCATCAACAGTGTGTAAATGTTCCCTTTTCTCTGCAGCCTTACCAACATCTTTTTTTTTAACCTTTTGATAATGGTCATAATGACTGACGTGAGATGGTATATGATTGCAGTTTCAGATTTGCATTTCTCTGATGATTAGTGATGATGAGCATTTTTTCAAATATTTGCTGGCCACTTATATGACTTCCTTTGAGAAGTATCCAGGTCTTTTGCCTACTTTTTAATGGGGTTGCTTGGTTTTTGCTTGTTGATTTGTTTAAGTTCCTTATAGATTCTGGATATTAGACCTTTGTCAGATGCATAGTTTGCAAACATTTCCTACCATTCCGTAGGTTGTCTGTTTTCTCTGTTGTTAGTTTTTGTTTTGTTTTGTTTTTTGCTGTGCAAAAGCTCTTTAGTTTAATTAGTCATGTTTTATTAGTCATTTTAATTAGTCATTTGTCAATTTTTGTTTTTGTTTTAATTGGTTTTGTGGACATGACCATAAATTATTTACCAAAAAGGGTGTATCCTAAATTTTCTTCTAGGACTTTTATAGTTAAAGGTCTTACATTTATATCTTTAATCTATCTTGAGTTAATTTTTGTATATGATGAAAAAAAGGGTCTAATTTCATTCTTCTGCATATGATTATCCATCACCATTTAATTAATGGAGAGTTATCTTCCCCATTGCTTGTTTTTGTCAGCTTTGTTAAAAATTAGATGGTTGTAGGTGTGCAGCTTTATTTCTGAGTTACATAATTTGTTCCATTGATCTATGTGTCTGCTTTTGTACCAGTACCATGCTGTTTTGGTAACTGTAGCATTGTAATGTAGTTTGAAGTCAGGTAGAGTGAAGCCTCTAGCTTTGTGTTATTTGCTTAGGATTGCTTTGGCTATACAGGCTATTTTTGGTTCCACATGAGTTTTATATATTTTTTTCTATCTGTGAAGAATGATGTTGATAGTTCAATAAGAATAGCGTTGAATCTGTAAATTGCTTTGGACAGTATGGCCATTTTAATATTGATTCTTCCAATCCATGAGCATGAAATGACTTTCCATTTATTTGTGTTGCCTCTAATTTCTTTCAGCGGTGTGTTGTAGTTCTTTTTGTAAAGATCTTTCACCTCTTTAGTGAGCTGTATTCTATTTCTAAGTATTTCATTTTATTTGTGACTATTGTAAATGATATTATGTTCTTGACCTGACTCTTGACCTGGATGTTGTTGGTGTGTGGAAATGCTGCTAATTTTTTGTATATTGATTTTATATCCTGAAACATTGCTGAAGTCATTTATCAGTTCTAGTTGCCTTTTGGTGGAGTCTTTAGGGTTTTCCAAGTATAGAATATCATCAGTGAAAAGAGATAGTTTGACTTCTTTTTTTCCTATTTGGTTGTGTTTTTTTTTTTTTTCTTTTCTGATTGCCCTGGCTAAGACTTCCAGTACTATTTTGAATAGGAGTGGTGAGAGTGGGCATCCTCACCTTATTTCAGTTCCCAAGAGGAATGATTCCAGCTATTATCTATTCAGTATAATGTTGACTGTAAGTTTGACATAAATGGTTCATTATTGTCAGATATGTTCTTGCAATGCCTAGTCTGTTGAGGGTTTTTATCATGAAAAGTTTTTGGATTTTATATAAAGCTTTTTTGCATCTATTGAGATGGCCATATGTTTTATGCTTTTGTCTTTATGTGGTAAATTGCATTTTGATTTGTGAATATTGAAAAAATCATGCATCCTAGGAATAAAGCCTGCTTGGTCATGGTGAGTTAACTTTCTTATGTTCTGCTGATTTGATTTGTTAGTATTTTGTTGAGGATTTTTCCATCTATGTTCATCAGGGATATTTGCTTGAAGTTTCCTTTATTAGTCTTATCTCAGCCAGATTTTCGTATTAGGCTGATGCTGGATTTATATAATGAGTTAAGGAGGAGTCCCTCCTCCTTTATTTTTTTAAATGATTGGTACTAGTTCTTCTATCTATGCCTGGTAGAATTTGACTGTGAATCCATGTGGTCCAGGGCTTTTTTGGGTTTATAGATTGTTTTTATCACAAGTTCAGTGTCAGAACTCTATACTGAACCCTATTCAGAGTTTCAATCGCATCCTGATTTGATCTTTGGAGATTGTATGTTTCCAGGACCTTTTCCATTTCCTCTAGATTTTCTAATTTGTATGCAAGGAGTTGTTTATAGTGTTATCTGAAGATCATTTTTATATTTCTGGTATGAGTTGTAATGTCATCTTTGTCATTTCTGAATGTACTTATTTGAATCTTCTCTCCTTTTCTTCTTTGTTTATCTAACAGTCTATCAATCTTACATTGTTTTTTGGAGAACCAACTCTTGGTTTAATTATATTTTGAATGGATTTTTGAATTTCAATTTCATTAGCTTATTTTCTAATTTTGGTTATTTCTTTCCTTCTGGAGCTTTGGGTTATTTTTTTTTTAATAGTTTCTTTAGGTGCAGAGTTATATTGTTAATTTGAGATCTTTTTAAGTTCTTGATGAAGGTATTGTAAACTTTGCCTTGATGAAGGGCTATAAATTTTTCTCTTAACACTGCTTCAGCTACACTCTAGAAATTTTGGTATGTTGTGTCCCTGTTTTCATTAATTTAAAGTAATTTTTAAATTTCTGCCTTAATTTTGATGTTCACCTGGAAGTTATTCAGGAGCACGTTGTTTAATTTCCACTTATTTGTGCCATTTTAAGGTATATTTTTGATATTTATTTATATTGTCTTCGCACTGTGGTCCAAGAATGTGCTTGGTATAATTTTGATTTTTAAAACATGTATTGAGTCTTGCTTTATGAAGAAGCACTTAGGTAATCCTAGAATACTTCTGTGTGCAGATGAGAAGAATGTACATTCTGTGGTTGTTGGGTGGAGTGTTCTGTAGATGTCTATTAGGTCCTATTGGTCAAGTATTAAGTCCAGAGCTTCTTTGTTAGTTTTCTGCCTCAATGATCTGTTTAATACTGTAAGTAGGATGTTCAAGTCTCCCATTATTGTGTGGTTATCTAGGTCTTTTGTTAGGCCTAAAGGAACTTATTTTATGAATCTTGGTGCTCCAAAGTTGGGTACATATATATTTATGAAAGTTAAGGTTTTTTGTTGGAGTCTACCCTTTATCATTATGTAATGCCCCTCCTTATTGTGAATTTTTATTGATTGATATGATTTGGGTTTGTGTACCTGCCCATATCTCATGTTGAATTGTAATCCCCAGTGGTGGAGGTGGGGCCTGGTGGGAGGTGGTTGAATTATGGTGGCAGTTTCTCATGAATGGTTTGGCAACATCACACTAGTACTATTCTCCTGATAGAGTTCTTACAAGATCTGGTTGTTTATAAGTGTGTAGCGCCTCCCTCTCTCTCTTTCTCTTGCTGCTCGGGTCATGTGAGATGCCAGCTCCGTCTTTGCCTTCTGCCATGATTGAAGTTTCCCGAGGCCTCCCCAGAAGCTGAGCTGATGCTGGAATTATTCTTCCTGTACAGACCGTGGAACCATGAGCCAATTAAACCCTCTTTTCTTTATAAATTACCCAGTCTCAGATATTTCTTCATAGCAATGCAAGAATGGACTAATACATTGGTTTAAAGTCTGCTTTATCTGATGTAAGAATAACAACTCCTCCTCTTTTTCATCTTTCATTTCCATGGTAGATCTTTTTCATTCTTTTTACTTTGAGTCTGTGGGTGTCATTACATGTGGGATGGGTTTCTTTAAAACCACAAACAGTTGGATTTTGCTTCTTCATCCAGTCTGCCACTCTGTATTTTAAGCGGACATTTATCTCATTTACATTCAGGATTACTACTGATATGTGTGATTTTGATTCTGTCATTATGTTGTTTGCTGATTGTTGTGTATACTTGATTGTGTAGTTGCTTTATAGCACCTGTGTGCTATGGGCTTGAGTGTGATTTTGTGGTAGCAGGTGTCATTCTTTTGAATCCATGTTCAGCGCTCTCTTAAGGACAACTTGTAGGCCTTGTCTAGTTGAAATGTACTTTCTCTCAGTATTTGCTTGTCTGAGATGGGTTTTATTTCTCCATCACGTATGAAGCACATTTTGATAGAATATGAAATTTTTGGTTGGAATGTTTAAAAAAATGCTGAAAATAGGTCTCCCATCTCTTCTGCTGAGAGATTTGCTGCATGCCTGATTGGGTTCCCTCTGTACTTCACTTGGTCCTCTCTATCTCTAGCTACCTTTAAGATTTTTTTTCTTTTGCATTGACATTGGTGAATATGATGACTATGTGCCTTGGGTACAGTTATGTCATGTAGTTTCTATCTGAGGTTCTCTGTATTTCTTGGATTTACATGTCAACCTCTCTACGCATATTAGGAAAATTATCATGGATTGTATCCTTAAATATATTTTCCAAGTTGCTTATCCTCTGTCCTTGCCTCTCAAAAATGTTGATGTGTCATAGATTTGGTTTGTTTACATAATGACATGTTTCTTGGATATTTTGTTTATTTTTCTCAATTCATTTTTAAATTTTTTGTCTGAATGAGTTAATTTGAAGAATTGGTCTTTGAGCTCTGAGATTCTTTCCTCTACTTGGTCTAGTCTACTGTTAGTACTTCCAATTGTGTTATGACATTTTTATAGGGAGTTTATCAGGTCTAGAAGTTCAATTAGGTTCTTTCTTACATGGCTATTTCATCTTTTAGGTTTTGGATGATTTTACTGGATTCTTTGGATTTCCTGGATGGAATTTCAAGTTTCTTCTGAATCTTGATGAGTTTCCTTGACATCTAGGTTCTGAATTGTATATCTGTCATTTCAGACATTTCACACTGGTTAAAAAACATTTCTGGGAACTAGTGAACTTGTTTGGAGGTAAAGGAACATTGGCTTTTTGAATTGCCAGATTTCTTGCACTAATTATTTCTCATCTGAGAGGGTTGTTGTTCTTTTAACTGTGGTGTGACTTAAGTATAGTCAGTTGGCTTCATTCCTAAATGCTTTCAGAGGGCTATAAATCTGTACCTGTGGGTGAATTATGGTGCTCGGTTTCACAGTTGCGTACGTTAGTAGGATACATTTTTGTTGTTGTCGTTTGGGCTGTGACCCAGTAGATGGCGCTTAAGAGTAATGGCCAGTACCTAGGTTAATACTCAACTGTGTAGGTTTTTTGTACATGCTTGAATTCACAGGCAAGCTCTGCGGTGAGTTTGAGGGAAGAAGTGGCCCCCTCACGCGGTTCACTCCTGGGCCTTAAAAGAGCATCTTCGATTGCTAGCACTGCATCTGCATTACTTTGTTAGGTGTACTAGGCCACGGGGCCCCCTCCGACAGAGGCTGTGGCAGAGAGATATGCCACACACTCTGTGGACCAGCTCTGCGGAAAGAGGCATGCCCTGCTCCCACTCCAGGTCAGGAACCTGCATGTCTCATCCCTCTCAGTGCTCTGAGGGCGAAGGCTCCTCTCCCATTTGAGGGTCGGCCACAGGTCTTGACTCCACACTCGTGTGCTGAAGTCCAGAATGTCCGTGGCTCAGGTTGAGGTTTTGGCTACCCTGGGAGATCCGATATGCTCCTGGGTCACCTGGAAATTACTCAGGTTCAGCAATGCACTTAGGTTGCGCTGTGGTGGCTGCACTGTGCATCCAATCCTGCAGGATGGCTTGGCATAGACTCAGAAGGACTGGCAGGCAGGAGGGCTTGCAGAGCAGATATGCTCCAGTCCCATGCGGAAGTTGGCTCTGCACTTTCCTGACTCAGAGGTCAGCTGGGGCCCGTGCCTCCCTGAGGGTGATGGGGAGCCCTGGAGATGGGCATGTATGGCTTCGCTCCACTGGAGCTTCCCAGGATTGAAGCTCCTGGGCTCTGTGCTGTTTTCTAAAAGTCCTGTCTTTTCTCACTGCCTGGGGAGATCCCCCTGCCAGGTTGCAGGTTCATGGGAAATGCAGGGTCTCCTACAGCTGAGATACCAGAGAACCACAATAAGAATGAGTTGTCCCTAAGTTCCCTCCCTCATCTCTTTCCCAAAAGCCATTCAAGACTAGAAACTAGCTCTGGCATTCAGGTTCCCTGTGCAAGTTTCCCAGTTTTTTCTCTCTTCAGCCTCATCATCAGCATTGGCTCTCCATCCACTCTCAGCAAATTATCCTGGTTTGTTGGATAATTTGAGCTCTCTCAATGGAAGTGGTGCTTCCTGGCAGCATCTAGTCAGCCAACTTGTCCTCTTTCTCATTCTCTACTGTTTTAAAAGGGAAAGCACTGTGTATGTGTATATAATGGTAGAATGTATGATACGAATGTCAAAGTCATTATATCCTAATTGCATGTTTTTCCATGAAGTATATGTCTAGGTCATTAGCTGAGGTAGGTGATTCTGACTAAGACTTTGAGAAGAAAAAATAAGGGTTAAAATACCTGTCTTTGAGAAAAGGAAATGAAATTTTTAGAGAAGTGTAGTAAAAATTTTGTCAGTGTTGATTATTCACTTGATAAACTATGTCATAACTTTTCAGCAAATCCAATCAACATGGTTTTGTGAGTTTTCTCCAACATCATCCAGATATTTTGTACACCATGGAGTTAACAGTAAACTATATTGATCTAAAAAGGTTGAAACCCAATAGCCAAAGATAGAACCATGAGATTGTGTAGCTGAATTGAGGTGGATGATAAAAACATTAGTCATGAGACAAAAGAAGCTAGCCTGATGAAGAATCAGAAGCTAGCATCTTGAGTTTCTTGTCTATATGGATAAAGAAGTTTTTAGGAATGATGATGAAGTGAGCTACCGTAAAATAAGTATTAAATTAAATATTGTATGAATTAAATATTGTGTCTAGGTTGATACATGTCAGCGACATGGAGCACTTGCAAGTAGTAAAATCCGATGATATATTTGAAAGGAACTTGTTTTTGTATAAAAGGAAGACAGTCTGGAAGTGGTGGGAAGTAAGGAAGCCGCTTATCTATCACCAGGCTCTGGCATGATGCAGATGGGGAGGATGCTGTGCTTGAGAGAGCTTTAGAAAAAGCTGTATCTTTTTGAGTGAAATAAAGTGAAAGGCGTATTCAAGGTACAGTTGGAATATGTAGAAATGTTTGCTGTTGATCACTTTTGAGCTCCAGAAAGACAACTACAACATTTAGTAAAGGTGGTGAAGTGTGTGCTTGTGTGTGTGTGTGTGTGTTTGTGTGTATGTGTGTCTGTGTGCTATAGTGGGGAAAGCGAATGAGGTCAGATTTGAGGATTTATAGACAACTATGGGACTGAGTGTTTATAGAAGGATGTATTGCTCAGTGATGCGCGGTGACACTAGACTTGAAAGTAGGAACAAGCAGAATATGAATATGTTTCGGTGGCAGCTGGAAACACTGGAAGTTTGACTTATTTTCTATTCTAAGTTTCACTGCCTACAGATAGGCTAAGGATGTATAAGGATGTATCTTTTGATCCATTAAAGCTGATCCATGGAGCAAAAATTCTGGATATAATGCTTCAGTGAAGAATCTGCATTTTGAAACACTCCTCAGGTGATACAGATGTTCAGTAACGTTTGAGAGAGACTGGTTTAGTAAAAATTTATAGAAGACTTACCACAATAATTATTTATATTTATATATTTATATATATGTGTGTATATATATATATTTATATATATGTGTGTATATATATATATTTATATATATGTGTGTATATATATATATACATTTATATACTATTTGAAAATAGAATGTGAATCATATATAAATAACCTTCTTATAATGATTGAGGGTACTTAAAGCAATAAACTCTTGAGCATTTTATGCATTAGTTTTATAATTATTTTTATTTAATTAATGTGCATACTCCTTGAAGAAAAGAATTGCTAAGCAAAGGTAAACTAGGAATTACCTTCTATTCAATTATCATGAATGTTTAATTAAAAGAGTTTAAATTAATTGTGTTACATTATTTACTTGTGTATGTAATTAATCTACATTTAGAATTTATTATTAAATGTTTGGGAAAGCAGTATCAAAATTCTTGAATGTATATGATTTTGAAAAAGTCTTGTATAATTGCTCCTATTTGAAATATTATTACAATGCAAAAGTTTGTTATTTATAGCTATAATTTAATTCTAATGCTTATCTGCCAATACCTCTATGTTGGTGATACAATAACTAACATGTATTACAGGCTTAGTAGATTCCAGGTGTCAATGTATGTACTAATAAACCTATTCATCACAACCACCTTATGAGTCAGTTACTAGTTTTTGTCTGTTTTAAGCTCTCAGAGAAACTGAAGTATATGTTTGTTAAATAATTTGATCAAGGTCTCCCATTTAGTAAGTGGCAGGGCAGAGACCCCAAAATAAGTAGTTAGATTCCAAGCCTGAACTGTTAATTACTGTATTCTATAGCTTCCTAAAACTACTGCTCAAAGGGCAGTGGTAGACAATTTGTGATGAATAGATCTTTAAAATTTAGGTGGTTCAATATTTTATGTTGGTTTATTTAGGTGGTTCAATATTCAGAGGAAAATGTAATTATGACTTACCCATTGAAAAGCTATAAAAATTCCATGCAATACCTATTTTCTTGCAGCAAAAAGCAGGACATAATAGTGAAATAAACAGAGTCAGTGAAAGTGTAATTTTAATCTTCGGCCACTCACCAAAATTGACACACAACAATTTAAAAAAAAAATGTGACATCCTTGCATTTCTAACTTAAATTGGTGTTTTCCAAATTTCCCACGTGGATATCTTGATACAATACATATTCCTAAGAACATCCACTGGGGTTTCTGGTTCATTCGGTCCAAACTTGTAAGTAAGAAATATTTATTTTAAACAAACACCCTACTTGATTTTTATGATCTGGGAAGCAATGGCCTGAACTCTAGATTAAATTGTTTTGGAGTTGTAAAGTATGATCTAAGAATATACAAGCACATCTCTTTGTTAAACCAAAACGACATTTGATTAAAAAGATTTTTGAAAATTGAAGCATGATTTTAAATTCTGAGACAGCAATGATTTATCTTGCTGCTGATTTTTTTCTAGAAAAGTACACTTTTGTTATAGCCATTACCCCTTCACCCTTGCCTTCTTATTTATTTGTATTTTTTAATTTAATATAAAATTTTGTTGACACTACTTCTACACTTCAATTCAGAAGAGTTATATTTCACAATACCTTAGAACAAGGATTCAGCTTAGGATCAGACAAGTACACATCATGTAAAAATTGTAATATTATTGTGAATCAGCGTCATTCTCTGTATCTCCAACTTCACACATAGTATCAGAACATGGAAGCAAAATGCTGAATAGAAAAAAATAGAAAATTAATATTAATATGGGAATCTAGGAAAGGACTAAATTTGTTGCTTGAGATTTAAAATACTGTAGAATTCTGGTTTTGTGCTCACATATTTGTTTGCAACTTTATTTGTCGTTCATTTCTTGAAGAAGGAAGGTAATTTTTTAAATGAGGTATTTTCCAAAGTCGTCTTCAGTGTGACTACTGTGGGCATCTTTTAGCCCCCTCAATGGTAGAAAACAGAGAATTACTGAACAAAAAGTAACCCACAAAGCTGATTTCCCTGCTATGATAATTCATAGTAATCCACTGAGTGATTGAAACTGTATATTCTGCTTGCTGAAATTAATGTGTTTTGTTTGTTTGTTTGTTTGATTTTAAGACAGGGTTTCATTCTATTGCTCAGGCTGGAGTACAGTGGTATGGTCATAACTCACTGTAACCTTGAACTTCTGGGCTCAAGCAATCCTCCCACATCAACTTCCCAAGTAGCAAGGACTACTGTTGCATATTACCACACCCAACTAAATTCTTTTTCATTTTCTGTAGAGATGAGGTCTCACAATGTTGCCCAGGATGATCTCAAACTCCTGGCCTCAAGCAACCCCCCAACTTCCGCCTCCCAAAGAGGTGGGATTACAGGCATGAGTCATGTTTTAACATCTAGAAGAGGATTGTCAGGAATAAATTCAGAATACCCATATTACCTATTTCCAGTACCAATCTCTGAATTTTTTTTAGTTAATAAGCACTTTCTCTTCTTCTGTTTCATATCCTTGGAATTTGTTTAATTTATGCTTTCTTTCTAATTTCCCAACCCTAGATTTTCTCTATCCTGCAAAGTCATCAAGACTCTTACTTTGCTAGTTCTAAATTGTGGTAGAACATAGAATAATGGAAGTAAAACCATGTGTTTTCAATTGTAGCACACATACATTGATGGCCTATTTGTGTAAAAATATGGATTCTTTCTTTATTTATTTTCTTTATTACTGACATGACCTGGCATCTCCTGCTTTCAATTTGTCCTGAGAATTTGTATACATAGATCTTACATTCAATAAGATATTGGTTTCTAAAGACAGAAGAAAATTAAGACAACCTTCAGTCCAAATCAAGAAAAATGAAGAATAAGAAGTCCATATAAATAAAGATCCACAATCTCCTGGGTACAATGACATTTTTAGAACAAGCACAGATACCTAATTTCTGTTCTCTACATTATGAAGAAAGAAAGGCTAAAGAAATTAAAACCCAAAGAAAATCATTTCCCAGACACAGAGTAGTTTATCAACCACATGCTCTGAATTTAAAGTAATTTCTACTAGATAAATTTCTGAAGAGACTAGTTTAAAAGGAAACACAAAGTGTTAACTCCCAATTAAGTGAGGCAATGCCAAAAATAAATTGCAAGGACATAGGATATTAGGCAAAAATTATGAAATGAGACAAAAATCTATGACATTATAGTGATATTTTTCAAAAAGAAATGATGTCTGTGAGCATCTAGTCAGCAAAAAATGCAACCACCATCACGTCACTGTTCTTTTTATTTTCTCTCAAATTTCATTTTAAAAAATGTCAAATGTACAGAAAATAGAGTACTTCTCTACCCATCCACTAAATTGAATGATTATGAATGTTTTACCCTACTACATTTCTGTATGTGTGTGTGTATACACACACACACATATATACACCTGACATTTACATTTCATATCCTGAGCCATTTAAGTTGCAGGAATCTTAAAAAATTTACCCCTAAATATTTCCAGATGCATCTTCTAAGAAAGGAGACATTTTGTTATATGACCACAATGCTGTTATTACCAATTAAATAGAATTACCTAATATGATCTAGTGTCTACCCATATTTAAGTGTCCCCAGTTGTCCTCAATTTCAAAACATCTGGGATTTTTTAAGTATTCGTTTTTGGGGGCTAAGATCTAATAACATTTGCCCATTGTATTTGGTTGTTATGTCTCTTTAGACAGTTTTAATCCAGAAAGTTTTCCAATCCTTTTGTTCTCTCATAACATTGACTTTTTGAGGAATTCAGGTCAGTTTTCTTGTAGAATGCTACATATTCGAGAACTATCTATCTTCTTGAGGTATTATATAATTTGTTTCTCTATTTCCTGAATTTAACTATGTATCTCTAAATAAAGCAAAAATCAACTTCATTTTTATCACATTAAATAGAAGAAAATAAATGGTATAATAAACATTTCGAATGAAAATTATGTGACTAAAAGACTTTCTGTATATTTAAGTACATATTCATGTATGAGACGACAAGAAGATATTCTCAGGAGTGTAATATTCAAAAATAATATGAACATTGAGTTCAGAAGTCATGGCATAAAAGGACTGCTGTAAAACTTTTCAACAAGTACTGACTTTTAAAATCTTATAAATATGTTTGCAAAGTAATGCAAAAATGAAGTAATTTATGACAGAACACCTCTGCAGCTTAGAAAGACAAAATGGTTTGGAGAGATTCACATCATAAACATTTTTCCAGGAATCAATGCAGGAACTTAACAGGAAAACTGAAAGATACCACACACTTTTATGAAAGAGGTGGTGGGCTGCAGCCTACACCATGAGCCAAGCTGAAAAAACATGTGGAAAAAGAAAGGAAAGTGAAGCAGTGACCTAGACAATAGAAATTTTTTGGCCTGACCTATTTCATTAGATGATTATATTGACGTTAATAAAATGTTTTATGATAATAGTCATTTTATCTTAAATATTCTCCGTTACCGACACGCACAAACCATAAACACACATTATGGATCTGCAGTGATTACAACTTGCTGGTGAAGAATCTACATGTTTATAATATCTGTCTTAGTTATACTTATATTGCATGCCATTATTTTGTAGAATTATTGCTACCACTATCATATAGTCTTGTTTTGGCCAAGTATGTTAATAATATGTTAATAATTGAAATAATAAATAATGTTTTTAATTTGTGTAGACTAATTTTACAAGACTTGAATCCATATCTATGCTACTATGATTATATGAAAATTAGATATATCTGCTATAATTTTTTCATAAAACTTAACTAAAGAATGTTAGCTAGGCAAGTGATATTATATACATATCACAAGGACATGTGAAAACCCATGATAAATTCATTAAAAAGCAAAAAGAAAATTATATATGTTTCATTATAATTTTAATAAAATAAGTGTTACTATAAGCTATATTAAAATCATATTTTTTGGGAACTTGCCATGAATTCTTTTATAAATGAAGTTCCATTGGAAGATGGTGTGTCATTATGTAGCCTATATTGATCACCTTTATAACTAAAGTTTTGGAGAAATTGTCTTTGTGTATAATTTTTTATTGTGGTAAAAATTGCACAACGTGAAATCTAATCCCTTAACAAATTTTTAAGTATACAGTACAGTGTTGTTAACGATATCCAGATTTCTGTACAGAAGATTTCTTGAATTTTTCATTTTGCTTGAAGGAAACTCTATATTCATTGAATGGCAACATCCCATTTCTTCATCTCCCCACTGTCTAGCAAACATCATTTTATTTCCTCTGCTTCCATGAGTTTGATTATTTTGGTGATACGTATAAATAGAGTTGTGGAGTATTTGTCTTTCTGTGACTAGTTGATTTCACTTAGCATAATGTTCTGAAGGTTCATCTATGTTGTAGCATGTGACAGGATTTCCTTCTTTTTTAAGGATGAATTATATTTTGTTGTAGTGTATGTTACATTTTCTCTATCAGTTCGTTCATCAATGGACAGATAAGTTGTTTCCACTTCTTGGTTATTCTTAATCATGATGTAATAAACACAGAAGTACAAATATATGATATCCTGACTTCAATTCCTTTGAATAAATATCCAGAAATAAAATTGCTGGCTCATATGGTAATTTTATTTTCAATTATTTTAGGAACTTCTATACTGTATTTCATGGTGGCTGCACCATTTTACATTCCCATCAACATATACAAGGTTTCCAATATCTCCACTATTTATTTATTTATTTAATTTATATAATGGCCATCCTAACAGGTGTTAGGTGATATTTAATTGGGCTTTTTATTTGCATTTTCCTGATGATTTGTAAATTGGAAAAATATGATGCTGACATGACATGTGCTTTTGGCTAAGGATATGAAAATGGAACAGAGAAGAGGGGTGCATACAGTGACCAAACCATTTTTCCCTGTGAAAATTATAATGGTAAAATGTGTGTCTTATTCAGTATACAATGTTTGATTTAAACTGCAATTATGTTGCTTTCTGACTTAGAATATGATAACCTTTTTAGATTTGTACAAATTTTTAATCTCAATCAACAGAAAATATTATTATGCCTGTCCTAAAATATATATAAACACATATGTAGATACATGATGGTCATCAAAGTCACATGCAATTATTGCATTTATGCACAAACTAAAGACATTTGCCAAGTATTAAAAGGTAATATCAAATGACACAGTACATTATGCTAAATTCTAAAACACCTTAACATAAATTGACCACATATCTTTATGCAATTTAAATTGATGAGATAATATTTTTAATCAAGTCCAATTTTATTATTTTGCTTGTGGATAACCAGTTTTTCCAATACCATTTGTTGAAGAGACTAGTCTTTTCCCCATTGTATAGTGTTGGCAACCATGTTGAAGATTATTTAACCATATATGTGTGGGCCTATTTATAGGCTGTCTATTGTATTCATTTATACATCCACTCTTATGTTAGTGTCATACTATTTTGATCACCATAGTGTTGTAATGTGTTTTGAAGTCAGGAAGTGTGAGATCTCCAGTTTTGTTCTTATTTATCAAGATTTCCTTGCTAGTCAAGATTCTGTGTGCTTTCATAAAAATTTTGGATTTTTTTTGTATTTCTGTAAAACATACCGTTGAGATTTTAATAGAGATTGCATTGAATCTGTAAATCACTTTGGGTAGTATGGGCATTTCAACAGTATTTTCACTTCATGTACGTGGGATATCTTTCCATTTATTTAGGTCTTCTTTATTTCAGCAATATTTGCTAATTTTTAGTATACCAGTCTTTTGCTGTATTCCTAAGAATTTTATTCTTTTTGATGCTATCGTAAATGGGATTGCTTTTTAAATATTCTTTTCAAATTGTTTGTTCTTAGCACGCAGAAATGCAATTCATTTTTATATTGACTATCCTGTAATTTTGTTGAATTCCTTTATTCTAACAGATTTTTTGTGTGAAATCTTTAGGGTTGTTTACATATAAGACCATGTGAGGCCAGGCGTCGTGGCTGACGCCTGTAATCCCAGCACTTTGGGAAGCAGAGGCGGGTGGATCACGAGGTCAGGAGATCGAGATTATCCTGGCTAACACGGTGAAATCCCGTCTCTACTAAAAAATACAAAAATTAGCCAGGCGTGGTGGTGTGTGCCTGTAGTCCCAGCTACTCAGGAGGCTGAGGCAAGAGAATCACTTGAACCCAGGAGGCGGAAGTTGCAGTGAGCGAGATAGCACCACTGCACTGCAGCCTGGGTGACAGAGTGAGACTCCATCTCAAACAAACAAACAAACAAAAACCATGTGAGTTATGAACAGACGTAGTTTCCTTCCAATTTTGATGCCTTTTATTTATTCTTCCTGACTAATTGTTCTGGCTAAGACTTCCAGTACTACACCGAATAGCATTGGTAAGAGTGAAGATTCTTGTATTGTTTCTGATTTTGGAGAAAAAGCTTTCAATTCTTTACTGTTGTATATGACATTAGCCATGATCATTTCATATATGGCCTTTATTATGATGAGGTAATTTTTCTATTTCTAAATTGTTGAGTGTGTTTGTCAAAAAAGGGTGCTGAACTTTGTCATTCTATTTTACATGTGGTGTAATTATTATGTAAATTTTATCTTTCATTCTGTTAATTTGGGTTATTACATTGATTTATTTTCGAAAGTTGAACCATCCTTGTATCTCAAAAATAAGCCCTACTTGGTCTTGCTGTATGGTCCCTTTAACATGCTGTTAAATTTTGTTTGCTATTATTTTTTTGAAGATTTTTGCATATATATTAATCAGGGGTCTTGGTTTCTAGTTTTTTTTTTTTTTCTCTCGGTGTCTTTCTGTGACTTTGCTATGAGCATAATACTAGTCTCAGAAAATGAGTTTGGAAGTGTTCTTTTAAATTATTTTGGAAGAGTTTGAGAATAAATAACTTTATTTTTTATGCTTTGGTAGATTGCTGAAGTGAAGCCAGTTATCTAGTCCTTGGCTTTTCTTTGTTAGAAGATTTGCTTCTCTTGTAGCTTTTCTTTTTCTCTTTTGCTAGCTTCCTTTGTGTTTTATTGATATTTTTTAGTGATATGATTTTATTATTATCTTTTTGATTCTGGGAGTTAGAGATTTTCTCCTGCTGGTTTCATGCTGAGCCAGGTGAGGGACTGTAGGGAGTGGTCAAGTGCTAATCTAAATTGTCACCTTCGTCCTCATAGGTCCCCAAATTGAAGCCTTTTCTTGTCAGTGCTTATATTCTGGCAAGACAGAAGGCAGTCTCCCAGGCAGTCTTACCACCCCAAAGAAAAGGCAGAATATTTGATATATGGTTCAGTCTTCTCTTTTCTCCCCAGGAAGAAGCTAAGACCTGGGAGATTTCTCTCTATTGTACCATCACAGTGTACCGGGGAGGGACTATGGTTGGTGAATGCCACAGATTTTTTTTTACCAGCTTCTGTGTGGCTGGTTTCAAAATCATCTAGGGTACAAAAGCCTCTTTCTTAACAGGTTTTTGGGTTTCTCACAAAGGTAATTGTTTCATATATTTTCTTTGAGTCAGTATCTCCATGAGTTAGAGGGTCTGGAGCTTCCTATTTTACCACCTTGCTGACATCACCTAGTCTTTCTGTACATTTTATTTTAATGGAGTTTATAGATTAAAATTGACTTCTAAAAAGTAATGTATACCACATATGAAATAACTTACCACCTAAAATACCCTTTACAAAGAAAAATAGTAATTTAATTAGTTATCAGCAAAGCACTCCTGTTACTTAGTTGGAAATGACTTTACATTTGGCTCTATCTTGCACTATTCATGTAGTCATCCAGTGGGTTCTCCTTGCCTGCTGCCTAGAAAAAAGTCGATTTATCAAGATGGGAATTGCAATAAAGAGTTTAATTCGTGCAGAACTGGCTATACTGGAGACCAAAATTTTATTATTACTGATGTCAGTCTCCCGAAAAACTCAGGATGGGGTTTATAAGGATAATTTGGTGGGTAGTGGGTTGGAAAGTAGGGAGTGCTGATTGGCCGGGTCAGAGGTGAGATTATAGGTAGTCCAAGCAATACTCTTGTGTTGAGTCAGTCCCTGGGTGGGGGGCACAAGACCAGATGAGCCAGTTTATTGATCTGGGTGGTTCCAGCTAATCCATGGAGTGCAAGGTCTTCAAAATATCTCAAATACTGATATTAGGGTTTACAATAGTGATATTATCCCCAGGAGCAATTTGGGAAGGTTCAGAATCATAATTTCTAATCTTGTAGCTAATTCGTTAGGCCTGCAAAGGCAGTCCAGTCTCAAGACAGGAAAGTGATTTGTTTTGAGAAAGGGCTGTTATCATTTTTGTTTCAAAGTTAAACTATAAATTAAGTTCCTCCCAAAGTTAGTTCAGCCTACACCCACTAATAAACACAGACAGTTTGGAGGGTAGAAGCAAATAAGATGGAGTTGATTAGGTAAGATGTCTTTTGCTGTAATGATTTTCTCAGTTATAATTTTTGCAAAGGTGGTTTCATTCAAAATTGCTCCTTGAATCTTGGATTAAATGTCATATCATGGGTATATTTGTTGCATTTTCAAAAGTGGATTGCTTCCTCTTTCTCTGTAATTGTGTTTCAGTTGTGATTGATTCACAATTTTAGTATATCTATGTAGAAAGCAGGTATATATGTGCATAAGCACAAAACTTCCATCACATCCCTGGACTATGCATTATAAGTTGTTTTTTGAGTTGGCTAAATGAGAATATTTTTGCAAGAGATCAGTTTCTAGATTAAACCTATTTTATTAACAGTTAAAAAGGTGACCGTCATTTTGAAAATAATATAAACATTTTGTAGGTTAAATATTTGTTCACAGTATATGGTTGTTTTTAGTTTTAACTTAATAAGAAGACTTGGATACACTGATAGCTATAAAAATCCAGTCCTAAACTACTTGCCATAAAAATGCTATGAGCTTTAGAGTTCGGAGTTCTAGCATATTGAATAGTAAAACATTAAAGAAGATCACCTGTTCATTAAAATATGATATAATACTCTTCATCTTCTAAAGCAGAATGTGTTTTTGTTTGTGTGCTTACTTACTAGAAAAAACAGATAAAAGAAGACTGTCACATTGCATGTAATGCCTTACTTTTAGGTTGAAAATAAGCAGAGATTTATACAATTCATTCTGTTTCCTTTTGTTGTATTTTTGAAACTTCAAGGACAATTATTATTTTTTCCTTTTCTAGCAAATAAATCCATTTCCACTGACAAATTGTAACTTTGGAGAAATGGAATATTTTCTTCCATTTTTGAAATAAAACTTTAGTAATAATTTTGATATTCTACTTTACCTTTAATTCATAATTCATTAATTTTAAGAAAATTTGATTAAAATAACTTTAAAATTTAATACAGGCTTGTTTTCTTGGATTTTATTTAATCAAGGCTTTTAGTTTACTGTTACTATTTTTCAGTAGTGTTTTCTTATTTTTATGACTGTTAATGACTTATTTACGTCTTTCATTCTTTCAATGTTATTCCCTGTCGAGGCCATAAATTTCTACCTATCTCTGGAAATAGCACATCCTGTCTATCCTTCAATCCCTAGACCAGATTTCTTTTTCCACTCAGCCTTCTGTATTGGTAGGATTTCAATTAGTCGCAACAAATAATATATCTGACAAATGCTGGTTTAAACAAATACAAGAAATGCAGAGTGATTCAATCCAGGTAGGTTTATGGCTTATTGAAATAATCAAGGATGAAGATCTTTTCTACACTTCTACTCCGCCATCCTTACACGCATGCTTCATTATGATCGTTGCAAGATGGCTGCTTCATCTCCAGCTTATTTCTGCTTTCCAGGCAGGTGGGAGGCAGAAGGATAACGAAAAATGAGCCAAAAAATTTAGTTTTTCAAGGCATTCCTGGGTCCATATTAATGATTTCTTCTTAGCTTTTATTAGTCAAGCTGGATGTTGTATATGATCTTACCTGCAAGTGAGTTTTGTAAGGTAAATGTTTAGCTTTCTATACTATATAGTAAAAGAAATGAAAAAGAGGAGGTTCTGAAAGTGTTTAGGTTAGCCAATTCAAATCACCACATCTTATACGTTCTTCCTGCTTGTCACATAGAAGTGGCTTTCTCTCTTTTGATTCCTACATTTGTATTATGGCAACTGTTGTAATAAAATTGAGTGCCATTTACTGAGTTCTTACCAAATGATAACACAGTGCTTGGGTTATCTTTAATTCACTTAATCCTAACAGGAACCATATAAATATACAGGCTTATAATTCCTGATGCACTAATGAGAACACTAAGGGCCAGAGTGATTTAAAAGTCATTTCCAAACACTCCTAACCAGTGAATAATAGAGCTAGAATAGTTGACCATGTTCATCTAACTCTAAACTCCATGATTTTGATAACTATAATATATTACCTCCTACTCTAGCTGGATTTTTTTACATTGTATATCTGTGCCTATCTTGACTACTATCTCTTAAAAGGTAAAACTTTGATTCATTTATTAATAGCACCATTCCAGAGTATAACCTAGTCCCAGGTAGACAATATGTATTTAGAAAATGTAAATAGTATTTTTATCAGAAAGTGCCTTTTCCAGTTATTCTGCTTGTATATTAGTGCATAGAAAAATACCCCAAAACTCAAATGTATTTTAAAACAATATTCAGTTTGTTATAGCTCACATTTTTGTGGGTAAGAAGTGTCAAAAATAATGCTGGATACTAGTTAATGTGGTAAGAACAGATTTTAATCAGTAATAACTGTTTCAATAAGGGGTATATTATAATGTGAACTTAACTCAAAATTCATTTGTGCAGAGGTGACTGGGCACTATAAAGGGACAATGAGGGAATAAGGAGGGGAACAATGGTTGAAAAAAGTCCAGAAAATGGATATTTACAGAAAATCATGACAAAGGGATTGGTTAATGTAAAACCCATTTTGGTTTGCTAACTGGCATTTATCACAGTTAGGCGCTTACCCTTCCATAGAGAGTGGGAGACAGGGAACCTGTCTTTAGGTGTTGGTAGGGCCAAATAGCAAATTATTTGGCAACTCTGAGCTATTAGAAGCTATGTTAGAAGCGTTTGTTCAGCTCTCTTAGTGTGTGGGCAAAATCACCGGTACTGAAAATGTGTGTTTTTTTATAGGCCAAGGTTGAGTAAGGCCTTGTTGAAGAGAGACCTTAGAGGATTCTGACTAGAGTTTGGTCTAGAAAAGTGTCTTTGTCAGGAATTAAAGCAAAAATAAGTTGGATAATTCTTCTGTTGAATATGATGTCTACTGAGTTCATTTAGTGGTATTCAACTGACAGATGGACTGGTATAGAATGTCCAGTATAGCTTCACCCACATGCCTAATATTTTGGCACAGATGGTTGAAAGGCAACACTCAGCTGCAACTGTTGACCATTGTGCCTATATGTGACAGGCACAGTATGGAGGTATTGGATAGCCGTATATTTTACTTGATGGCTCAGGTCTCCCAGAGAGAATGATACCAGATACAGAAAATGAAACCTGACAGTATCTTAAGACTTGAACCTAGTTACTGGCCCAGAATCACTTCCACCATGTATTATTGTCAGATCAGTTTTAGAACTCACCCACATTCAAGGAAAAAGGACATAGACCCCACCTCCTTGTGGGAACAGTATGGCCACTTTTAATTTGTTGCACTAGTATTGGAAACTTTCAAATATATTTCATGGGGTGAAAGCAGCAAAGTAGTATATTTTGTCTTGTTATTGTGTGTATCTTTTTTGAAAAGGCCTTTCTGTCTACTTCATTGAATTCTAAAAGTTCATACTTTATAAAAGATTCAATGGCTAAAATATATGTTACACACTCAGGATTAAATTATTTAAATGTTCTATTTGACCGTTGGTCATGTTTGAAATAAGATAAAATTATCAGTGATTTATAAATGACCTCATATTGCATATGAATGTATCAATAATGTATAAACATCAAACTTTATAATTATTATAATATATTATAATTTATTATATTTATTTATAATTATAATTTATAATGTATTAGGGTAAGATACATTATATTTAGAAGGAAATACATGTTTCTCTAAAAAAATTTTTCTTAGTTCCCACTGACTGCATAAATGAAATTGTGATGTTTGATTACAAACCCAAATACCACTTAGCAATCAAACTTAGTTTTCTATTCAGGGAGTGCAACATATTCAGCTTGTCCCCTTGAAAATCATAATTCTACCAGGTTTACAAAGTTAATAAAGAGTGAGCATCTTGATTTGTTGGCAAATTAGTAGTGAGAGCCCATTTTATGAAAAAGTTACCTTTAATCAACATGAATAAATTAGAAATAACCTTAAATAGTTTCAACATCAAATTTGCTCAAGTGGTAAAAAGAGTTACTGGATTTTTAAACATTAGAATATGTATTCTCATTACTTATATGGCAGCACTTAAGCAGTAATCTCCAAGATATTTTTAAAAGTTTCGTTACCATTTTTTAAGGAGGATTCACAGAAAGAAACAAACCAAGATTGAATAGAATGTTACTTAGTAAATATGTTGTCTAAGTAAAAACTACATGCTATTATCCCTTAATGGAAGACACTGGGTTAAAACCTGAAAATAAATATTATCAATGCTGGGCCAGGTACAAGTGCATAGAAATTAATAAAATCACAATTAAACTTTCCTGATCCTTTAAGTAACACTCATATTTAGCAAAAAAGATTATTATCAACAAAGAAGATTAAACAAATTTTATGCTTTTGTTGGAACTAACTCTTCATAGATAAGACATTTTTGTGCTTATTATAAATTTACATTTGATTGTGTAATTGAATGTTCTTCAAAGAGTTACTTATGGTTTTTACTCATTTCAACTTGCACCAGTGCCAATAAAAATTTTAGAAAAAAAGCCTCACTCAAGATCTATAAGCTTTAATTGATCATATACTTCAATGTTAGGCACATTTTTCATTGGTCTAGACAAAATCTGTCTCGTTTTTCATTCATTTATTTATTCATTTCATTTTAACATTGATATTCGTGTTTATTCTCCCTTGCATAGTAACCACTCTAACGTGTTAATTTTGTAAATTTTTTGTATATGAACTTTCAAATGGATATCAATTTTGTGTCAACATATTTTTAATTTATGAACATTGGATTATATTATAGATTTTTTCCTGTGTATTACTTTTGTTAGTTCACACTATGCCTTTAAATGCCATTCATCTTGCAATGTATACATCTAATTCATTGCTTATAACTGCAGCATAGTAGATGTGAAAGCTATTCAACTACCAATGTGGTCCACTTTTTCTGAAGTACCCAATTCGAGTGGGCAAAAAAGGATACCCTAGAGAGTAGAGTCAAGAGCTACAGGGAACAAAACACTGAGTATTCACTTATAGGCAGCTGAAACTAGGAATGTGTCTATCGTATACAGAGATGATATATAGAACCTCTGACAATATTATATAAGAAAAATAATAAGCTTAGATCCCTAGGGCTTGAGAAAAAATATGTCCCCCACTTTTTTTTTTTTTTTTTTTTTTGCTTAGAGAAATGTTTTATTTTGGTTGGTTGACAACTAATTGTTCAGTTGAATGGTAACTCTCACACTGCATCCTAAAATAAGATACTCTGTTGGCAAGTAGAAAATAGAATAATTTCATTTTTTATCTGTTAAGCTCTCTTGAAAAATGTTTCTGTTTCTTAAATTTAAAATTGGCCTGGTTTGCCTTTTCTTTTCAAGGTTAAAAGGTTTGTATCCTCCAGCAATGCCAGACTGTGTCAGACATCTCTGCAATTCATCAGCATCTATTTGCCCATCATGTCCAGCTACAGCAGCAAAGTAATCATATAGTGGATCCTGAGTTTTTCTGGGAAATGCAGGCCCTCCAGGAGTCCCTCCATACCCGCCTGGGTGGTACCCGCTGCCAGCGCCAGGATGCCCCAGGTACTACATGGTGCAGTCTGCGCCACTGCTGCCATTGCCCTGAGTGCCTGGCCCAAAAATGTGCCTTTTTATTAGTAGCTATTTCCATTTGAAAATCAGCTCCTGACTTAATATTTTCCAAAGGAACTTGAACACCTGTGAGATTTCCAAGTAACTATGCAATCCCAAACTACTATTAATGAACTAAGTGATATCTGATCCATAAAACTGGATGTGTACAGCAGCTTTTCACCTTTAATTGAACTTGTATATACCAGACAAAGCCTCAGCAGGCCTGGAAGTCACAAGTAAATTGCTAAGCCATCAGTTCAGACTTGCTTGATAATCTATTTCTATTTATTTCTTCCCTTTGCTTTAACCTACATGCTATGGCCAGTTATTGCAGAGAAAAAAAAAGGTAAGCCTGGTTTATATTAGCGTCTTCAGTGTGTGCTAGTCCCAGCTAAAAATGGATGGCCACTTAGAAGATCAGTCATGGATACCCCAGAAAGCTGAGGTAAAGGGAAATTCCATTGGTGGGTAGAATTTCAAGTGCTATACCAAGATGTTCAATATATGCAAAAAGAGAGATAACTTGAGTGTGGATATATGATGATTAAAAAATGGAGACTAATGATTAAACTGGCTAAATAGGGACCTAGATAAAATAATGTTGGAAAATTGGTGAAGAGAATTTGGGAAAAGGTATGTGAATGAATCTCTCAAAATGGGCACTGAGTATGAGGATGCTCACTTCCCACGTAAATTTGTGCTCCACTAGAAAACAGCCAAAGCTGTTATATTAAACATAATGACACATTATCTGGATATTGTTTGGCCTCTTTTTACTCTACAGTGATTACTTAATGGACTCATAGACAAAGTGGCCATGATGACAAGTATGAAGACTATGTATATTTTCTTCAGCAAGACTTTCCCTTCGCTAAGGCTGATCTTGTTTCTGTGGCTGCTAAGTGCTTTACCTTTCATTAATAGAGGCCAAATTTTGAGGTATCATTTTGGTACAGCATGTGGGGGGAACATGCTAGCTACCTTTTGGTGGATTGATCATATTGGGTTTTTTTTTTCATTATGGAAGTGAAAGCAATTTGTCTTCACAAGAATACACTCATCATCTGGATTTGGATTTGTTTTCCCTGGGCATTGCCACCATACTTACATGGAGAGAATGCTTTATATACCCATAAAACATCATCTATAAACAAGGGAATTATTTTGCCCGGAAGGAAATAAGATGATGGGCACAGAAACACACAATTTGGTGGCTTTAAGCCCGCACTATTCCACTATCCAGAAACAATTTTTATGATAGGATCTTGCAATATTGAGATGCTATCATACAGAATATGTTGTATTCCTCAAATTGTAGCCAAAATATGATGCCCTCTTCCCCATAAACTGAATGCATGGGTCTGGGATTTAAGGGATGGAAGTAGGTGCACTACTCTCATTTTTACACCTAATAACTCCCTACAAGAATGTTTCTTTCTCATTTTTGATGCTTTTGATCTTATGTGTTTAAAGATCTCAGTGCTCAAGGGTAGCACACCCTCACTCAAGGGTAAGAAATAGCCATGGTTCTCATAAGATGGAAGCTGAGACTGCCTCTTGGTCATATTCATGATGCCAAACCTGCAGCAAGAAAAGAGGGTCATTGAACTGGCCGGAGTAATTAATTCTGGTTACCAAGGGGAAATCAGGTTGCTTCTAAGAAGTGGAAGCAAGGAAAATTATATCTGGAACCCAGAGACTTCAGGGGCACCTCTTAGTGCAATAGTCTTTGTTAACAGAAAACAGGCAATTAATAAAAGCAGGACCATCAAGGGTTCAAATATTATGAAAATAAAATTTATTATTACTCTACCAGGTTACAAAAATATATATATATATATCTAGCCAAGATGCTGGGAGAAGGAAAATGGAAAGTGTAATAGGTCATAGAAAAATAAAACTAGTATTATCAGTTTAGACCTTGTGACCAGCTAAAGAAACGAAATGGTATCAGCTATATATTATGTCAATTATCCCTCTCCCTCATCCCGTACAAAGAGCTACAGTGTTTTAGATATCAGATGGGAATGTGACTGAATTGAAATGTTTGCACCTCCTGTGGTTGGAATACATTTTTTTCATCCAGATAAAGGACAAGAGTAGAAACCAAGGGTCAAAAGGGATAGACTGCTAAATGTTTTCAGCTTGCTTCTCCCAGATATACTCTACTCCCCTCTCCTCTCTCTTTCCACCTTGCAATGCTTATCTTTGTAAACTACAGTGACCTGACTACCATTCCCTGTAGTTTTTAGCGGCCAATAGGAAGCACAGTCAGAAGAATTCAGAAAGATGAAAAGAAGAAATTGGATTATTTATTCCCTTAGCTCACTCCTTGCAAGCCATGGGTTGACAATGACTGCATGCTTCTACTCAAGGCCATAGACCCTTTCAGGTAGCCCGCTCTTACAGCTACAGTTTCAGCTGCCCTAAGGTCCCTGTAACCACATCCTCTCTTTGTCTCTTCAGTCCTAAGTGTGGTAAAAACTTTCTGCTGTGGTCAGCCCTGGGGGATTTTATTATGCCTTACTGCTTCTCCTTAATTCTGCCCATACCTGTAAATAAACCTTTTATCAAATTCATTTCAATAATCCCTTTTGAGTATGCCATTTGTCTCCTGACAAGACTGTGATTAACACGATCTAAGATAACACTTAAAATCACTGAGTTATTCAAGAAAATATAATTCAGCATTTGTTTGTTCTTAAGTACTTTATTTAGAACAAACATAATAAATTTCTTTGCTTAGGAGAACATCTATTGTTTCCGATATTCATGCAAATAAGGAACTCATTTTGTAGTTCATATGCAGAAACATATTTTGCACATTTTCTTCATGGAGATGCAGCATTTTGAGGTGCCTGTCTAATACTCAGTATGTGGCAACTTTCCACACTGAACAGGATGTTTGCCAAGAGGCAGAAAATCTACAAGTTTTGCTTTCAAAAGTGGCTATGCAAAAATCCTCAATAAAATACTGGCAAATCCAATCCAGCAGCACGTCAAAAAGCTTATCCACCACAATCAAGTTGGCTTCATCCCTGGGATGCAAGGCTGGTTCAACGTAAGCAAATCAGTAAATGTAATCCGTCATACAATCAGAACCAATGACAAAAACCACATGATTATCTGAATAGATGCAGAAAAGCCCTTCAACAAAATTCAACAAAGCTTCATGCTAAAAACTCTCAATAAACTAAGTATTGATGGAGTGTATCTCAAAATAGTAAGAGCTATTTATTAAAAACTCACAGCCAATAGCATACTGAATGGGCAAAAACTGGAAGCATTCCCTTTGAAAACCGGCACAAGACAAGAATGCCCTCTCTCACCACTCTTATTCAATATAGTATTGGAAGTTCTGGCCAGGGCAATCAGGTAAGACAAAGAAATAAAGCATGTTCAATTAGGAAAAGAGGAATTCAAATGGTCTCTGTTTGCAGATGACATGATTGTATATTTAGAAAACCCCATCGTCTCAGCCCAAAATCTCCTTAAGCTGATAAACAACTTCAGGAAAGTCTCAGGATACAAAATCAATGTGTAAAAATCACAAGCATTCCTATACACCAAGAACAGACAAACAGAGAGCCAAATCATGAGTGAACTCCCATTCTCAATTACTACAAAGAGAATAAAATACCTAAGAATACAACCTACTAGGGATATGAAGGACCTCTTCAAGGAGAACTACAAACCCCTGCTCAATGAAATAAAACAGGACACAAACAAATGGAACATTCCATGCTCATGGATAGGAAGAATCAATATCGTGAAAATGGCCATACTGCCCAAGGTAATTTATAGATTCAATGCTATCCCCATCAAGCTACCACTGACTTTCTTCACGGAATTGGAAAAAAACTACTTTAAATTTCATATGGAACCAAAAAAGAGCACGCATAGCCAAGACAATCCTAAGCAAAAATAACAAAGCTGGAGGCATGCTACCTGACTTCAAACTATACTACAAGGCTACAGTAACCAAAACAGCATGGTACTGGTGCCAAAACAGATATATAAACCAATGTAACAGAACAGAAGCCTCAGAAATAACACCACACATCTACAACCACTTGATCTTTGACAAACCTGACAAAAACAAGCAATGGGAAAAGGATTCCCTATTTAATAAATGGTGTTGGGAATACTGACTAGCCATATGTAGAAAGCTGAAACTGGATCCCTTCCTTACACCTTGCACAAAAATTAACTCAAGATGGATTAAAGACTTAAATGTAAGATCTAAAGCCATAAAAACCCTAGAAGAAAACCTAGGCAGTACCATTCAGTACATAGGCATGGGCAAAGACTTCATGACTAAAACACCAAAAGCAATGGCAACAAAAGCCAAAATAGACAAATGGGATCTAATTAAACTAAAGAACTTCTGCACAACAAAAGAAACTATCATCAGAGTGAAGAGACAACCTACACAATGGGAGAAAAATTTTGCAATCTATTTATCTGACAAAGGGCTAATATCCAGAATCTACAAAGAAATTAAACAAATTTACAAAAAAAACAAACAATCCCTCAAAAAGTGGGCAAAGGATATGAACAGACACTTCTCAAAAGAAGACATTTATGCAGCCAACAGACATGAAAAAATGCTCATCATCACTGGTCATTAGAGAAATGCAAATCAAAACCACAATGAGATACCATCTCACGCCAGTTAGAATGGCGATCATTAAAAAGTCAGGAAGCAATAGATGCTGGAGAGGATGTGGAGAAATAGGAATGCTTTTACACTGTTGGTGGGAGTGAAATTAGTTCAACCATTGTGGAAGACAGTGTGGCGATTCCTCAAGGATCTAGAACTAGAAATACCATTTGACCCAGCAATCCCATTACTGGGTATATGCCCAAATGATTATAAATCATTCTACTATAAAGACACATGCACACATATGTTTATTGCAGCACTATTCACAATAGCAAAGATTTGGAACCAACCCAAATGCCCAGCAATGATAGACTGGATAAAGAAAATGTGGCACATATGCACCATGGAATACTATGCAGCCATAAAAAAGGATGAGTTTATGTCCTTTTCAGGGACATGAATGAAGCTGGAAACCATCATTCTCAGCAAAATATCACAAGGACAGAAAACCAAACACCACATGTTCTCACTCATTAAGTGGGAGTTGAACAATGAGAACACATGGACACAGGGAGGGAAACATCACACACCAGGGCCTGTTACAGCGTGGGGGCCTGGGGGAGGGATAGCATTAGGAGAAATACCAATGTAAATGATGAGTTGATGGGTGCAGCAAACCAACATGGCACATGTATATCGATGCAACAAACCTGCACATTGTGCTCATGTACCCTGGAACTTAAAGTATAATAATAATAATAATAATAATAATAATAATAATAATAAAAGTGGCTAGCATCTGATGATACCACAGCTCCTGGTTGAAGTGGACCAGGGTACTCACAAAATACCTCCTGAATACTTAAACTGTCCACTCTTCCTGTGTCACTGTATGACTAGCAACTTATTTTATTTCCTAATTGGCAGCTCCTCAGCCACAGAAACAAAATGGCAGACAGGAGGGGGGTACCTGCCTAAGAGCACAGGAAAGACTATAGTTCCCAACTTTTTGATTCTTGATGCTACAGAGTGTCTGCCCAAATTTTTATGACTACTTCCCAGATTCCAATGCCTTTTAAGCATTTGTGTTTGGCACTATGATATTAATAACTTCAGAAAATTGGCACAATGATGCCAGTCTAACATTTGAGGCAGATTTTAGTTAAGCTTGTTTTGATAATTATAATAATCCTGTCTCTCATTATGGCATTAAAAAGTTGTTTATTTTTTTGTTGTTGTTTTTATTTGTCTCTTGCATGTAATTTAGGGACTAGGTCCCAAGGTGCTCTGAGCCTTAATTATTGTCTGAAATGTGGTTTGAAATGGAGACTCCCTAGCAACAGTATGAATCACTTATTCCCAAACTACCAGTATGACAGAAGACTCCATATTACTGTTTAAAATAATGTTCCTGGTTTTTGCACAAGATTTATCCATTAAACACTGGGCCCCTAAGTGTATGCATAATTGAAATTTTATTGAATACTGATGTATATGCCACCATACACATCACTCAGTGGAATGCAGTTTAGGAGGTTAGTTTCTTCCCTTTTTGTTATAGTTCAAATACTAAGCAAAATATGTCTCTTATCTTACTGACACATCAGATGAGATATTTATAATAAAACAAAGTGCACCAGTGGGCTTGGAAAATTTTTTGCAACAGTGTGAATTGTATTGAATAAATGCAATCTCAAGTTTATCAACAAGTTGCATTCCCAATGTTCATTGGCTTGTTTGAAATTTAGAAAGCATTTGGTCACAGAATCAGTGTTGTACATGGTAAGTAAGTCCCCAAGACAACCAAAAACTCATATTTAATACAGAGAAAAGCTGTATTATGATCAATTTCAGTGAAAATATAGAAAAAAATAGAGTCAAACAGAGGCATCTGAAGATTTTTTTGTGGTTGACTTAGAGTCGAATAACATAATATAAAGTTTTCTATATAAAATTCATTTTATACCATACAGAAAGAATGAGCACTCCTGGGGTTATTTGATCTACAGTGTACCACTCATGAGTTACTGCCACTGAGGTAATCAGGAACTCAAGGCAGTCAAAAGGCAGTGAAAAGACTGAAGAATTAAAAGCTAATAGAAAACAAAGGAGGGATCTGAAGGAGATTGGGATTTAAGATTAAGATACAGAGATCAAAGATGTGCATATGTGAAGGAAGAAAATTAAGGGTGCTTCTGAACTTAAATATTATTTGTTTTATTTTGTTTTGTTTTGTTAAACACTGTAATGATCATGCTGGCCTATGGTGATTTGAAAGGAAAAGTTTAGAACAAAGAGAGTTGAACAACACAAGGCAAAAAAAAGTTTCATAAAATACATACAAATAAATGTTCCATATCAAATTCATAGAAAACCATAGGAAGGGAAGGCTGTGAAGGTGGAATAAAGGTATGCAAGTGAATGAATGAATAAATAAATCTGTGAAAAAAATAAAAGGGTCTTGTATAGTTTCTTAACAGTAAGTTGTCATAAACTGAAGCATATGGTTAATTTATTCCGTTACATATTTGGTTTAAAAAAATGTGGCCTCAGAATACCAAATGTCTTGAAGACAATTAACTGGGTTACAAATATTATATTCCAAAAATCAAGCAGAATAATTTTTCAATAAATTTCTCAATACATGATGTTAAATGACATTGGCCCCTACTCATGGTTTTGTGATTCCATATTAAATGAATGCATAGTTCATCTCATTGTCACAAAATAATACTCTAGTTTCCTATATCTTTTATTTACCTTAAACACTAAAAGTTCATTTATCTGTATATCATAGTTAAAATTTTATCAGTAACAGAAGACCATCTCTACTTTAGCATATTAGTTTCAAAAGTTATCTAGGTCATTATGTTCTTTTAATCCTTCACTGATCCAGACTGTTCTACATAAAATGGGAAAATATCACTTGGAAATGTATAGGAAACAGTTTAGTAGTTTTCATTCAAGTTGATTATTTAAACAATTCTGAATCAAAAAAGTCTACATTATATTTTTGTTTTCATTTTAGCAAGTAATTTTTAAAATTTTGGACTGTTATTAAGGGTCTCCTATACCTTCTAAAAGAAACTTGTAAGTCCAGCTTTTAGGAATTGTTTAATATTTCAGTATTCCTGTAGCTGACTAGGTAATCAATACAATATGAAAAAAGTGCCATATCCTCAATCTTTTCTGATATATTTCTTTGTTCTATGCTTTAATAGAAGTGAGTTACCATAACTAGTGTCAAAATCTCTTCAGTGATTTCTCAGATCATTCAGGGTGAAACCAAGGGTTAGTTTCATGAATCGGAGAAAAATACCCAAAGGAAGTATGTGAAAAATACCTCTCTCTCTCTCTCTCTCTCTCTCTCTCTCTCACACACACACACACACACACACACACACAAAGACACTTGACATTTTTTTTTTCTCGTAAAAGGCACAATTGTCTATTCTTATAACCCACTTCAAAGTAAATAGCAATGATTGCCCCCGGTGTGTGTGTTTGTGTGTGTGTGTCTGTATGTAGATGTAGGGGAGGAGGAGGAGGAAGAGGAGGAGCAGGAGGAAGAGGAGGAGGAGGAAGAGGAGGAGGAACGAGAGAGAGAGAGGCTCTTCTACACTTCTACAATTTCTATAAAATCATTATATAAAGTACAGTGTATGCATTGTAATGATGCACAACAAGGACACACACACACGGTAGGTAATACTATTATCATTTAAACTTTACAGATGAGAATATTGGAGCTTACACAAGTTAATTAAATTGTCTCACACCACACATGTTATAAATAAAGGATCTAAGATTCAAACATAGGCTAGCCTAACTTCACAGCCTGCATAGGATTTGTTATACCATTTCTGGACACATATACATGGGGACTGTGTACAACCCTAGGCATTGTCCCTTTGACAAATGATGTTTCCTAAAAGGAAGAGTTTATCATTTCAGTTTGAAACCACAAAGGTCTTCACTAAAGTTTCTTTATTTGTCTATAGTATGGATACATATCGTAACAATTATTTGTAAGACTTTATCGTGAATCCTAAAATTAATTGAAAATATATTCTGTGAAGTGAGATATGAAGAGTTGCAAAACAAGACCTATGTATGTAAGTGCATATTAAGTCAAAGAAAATTTTAAAAATGTCATATTTTACTTACAATCAAATATATATCAGTTCATTGTTGCAAAAAAATCACCAATTTAATATAAATGCATTTGTCTATGTCTTTAAACTTTTTCTAAAATATCTATTACATAGGAATGGGCGAGACAAAGAAACTGATGTAGATTATCTTAAAAAACACTTTATGAGAATTACTTATAAAGTGACAGAGTGTAAATTACACTGTATACTGTCACAAGTTAAACAATTTATGCATTAATATATTACCAACATAAAAGAAGCTGTCTTAAGACTTAGAGCTAAGTGGTTCATTTATGTTAAAGGTATCATTATCCTTGAGAAAGTCAAGAAATGATCTTTACATTTTACTCCTTAAGTCAACCTTTCAAGATCTTTTGGTGGTGCTTATTTTTCACACTGGGATATCACTTAATAGAAGTATTTCTATTTAACTTTGTAAAATAAAAATCAACTGGAAAATAAGGCTGGTTATTCAAGCTACCCTCACTCTAACATTTAAGTTTACAATAATATACCTTGGCTGATTCAAAGATCAAATTTATAATTTATAATCATATATTCCAAAGTGTTTTGGTTATAAAACCTTTAAAGGATAACATAGTGAATTTTTTCCTCTGATCATTATATTAACTCTAGTGTGCTTTCCAAAATACAGATGTGTATGTGTGTGTATATGTGTGTGTGTCTGTGTTTGCTTGTTTGTTTTATTTTTAAAGAAGCATCACATTGACCGCTTAAACATTTAAATATTTTTGTATACTTTTGGAACATATCTTTATATGTATAAATGTTATAGCTAGAAATAATGACACGATGGGTCCACTGGCAATGAGCAGACCTAAAAGAAGCCTCATATATGTTCTGGCTTTGAATACGTCTTGGTCTATTCTGTCCTGGGAAAGTACTGCTTGTAATATAGCTGGTCATTACTCCTCCTGCCCCCAGTTCAACTATTTTGTATATTATTTTATACATTAGTTCTAGTCTCCATGTATATTTCTACCAGAATTGGAAAATTTTAATTTATTAGATACTTTGCCCCAAATGTAACATTTAATTATAGATATTCCTGAAGAATTTGATTCTCAAGTAAAGTCATTTTAAATTGGTCTGGTACATCATCTAAGCTGTTTGCCTTACTTGCTATACAAATTGGCTTCTTTGCAGCTGTGGTGAAGGATACAAGAAATCTGCTTCTAATCTGCTTTAAATTTGGCAATAGCATTTTCTAAAAATGTAGTGTGTGTCCAGGATGTTTTAGTTTAGTGACATGGAGCATCCTGTTACCTTCATTTAAGGCTGAAAGCAAAATTTGGTAAAAAAAAAAAAAAAAAAAAAAAAAAAACCATAAAAATGCATGTTTATCCAGGTTCATAGATCCAGGTTTTTTAAATGGGACCCCAGGTTATTTGGCTGCAGCTCTAGTGTTTTGGAATCCACTTTGAGAATGCATTGCTAATCCACCTTGTTCACAGCCTTTTAGATTTGCTTTGTTTAAAAAGATTACTGGTATTTTGCAAGTAGTACCGAGATTTCGGAGCACATTAATATTATTTAGTGTTCTTTGGCTCCCTGAAGTATCGCTGACAATCTTTGGAGTTTAAAGGTTTTTCATAGCTAGAGCACATCCATAGGAAATTAATTCAATATTATTGCATTAGGCTGTCTTTAACTGGTGAAAAATTATCTGGCTGTGACCAATGGAAATTTGTTGAGCTGAATGTTGTGACCCATCTTTCAAATCTCACAACTGCAATGATACAGCTTCCTAGAAGTTGAGCTAAACCATAGGTGTCTTTTCACTTCAGCATTTTATTAAGACAAAAGCCTATGAAATATTTTCAGTTCCTTACTTTTTTTTTTCAAATTCCCTTCAGTTTCCCTTGTTTATCTAGAAAAAAATATGTACTGTAAATAAATGTTCTTTCCACCATGATCTCTATCTATTGATATGAAATATAAAAGCTGAAATGAAATTTTAATATTTTTAAAATCTAGTGAAAGTTTAGCATTTGATAAGTAACAATGTAATATGTATTAACATGGGTTCAAATATACAAAACTGTATTATTTCATAATATATCACCTTTATTTTTCATAAAAAGTAACAAAAGTAAGGCCTAGAGAAATCTCCGAACATCTATCATATTCTTTTCAAATTCCCACTTTTTTTCATACTAATAAAAATTGAATGGAAAAAAGAATCATAAGAAATGATTAAGAAAAAGAGCTGGAGAAAACTTACCTGTCATGCTTGATGATGAATCTGCACTGGTCCGTCTACTCCTCCGAACATGATTTGAGTTGGAGCCTCTGGCTCAATATTAAGTCAATTAGCTATGTGGTACAACAAACTCAAAACTAGAAGTCATGCTTGGTCTCTTTTTCCTTTCCTCTTATTTTCCCAGTGATGTCTTCTGAGATATGACAGGCCCAGGAGAAAAGGGAAGTGTGTACTAATTGAACTATATAAGAGACAAATAACTTATTTCAAAATATAGAGATGTAAATATACACATAAACAAATACACTTTGATTTGAACATTTAATTTAATCAATATGTAGCATCTTTGGCTAACGTTCATTAAAAATGAAGTTACAGACTGCCATTCCAGTTGGCATAATTCTAGGAAAGTGTTTCTGAAATGATGTTTAGTCATATTCTCCCACAAAACCAGTCTTTTTCTGTCAGAATTTGTATCTTACTAATGTTTATTTGCCCAAGATCAGTGCAAAGTTGGATAAAAATATTTGAAGTGGAGACACCAAAATGCTTTTGCAGACTAGAGGCAGTGTATAATGCTACATGATTCACTGTTCTAGAGCTTATCCAGCAGAACAGTGAAAGGATGGTAATGCTAACAGTGACCAATTAAACATATGAAAATATTAAATGTACTTTTAAATTGCTAATGAAGTCATGAGTACTATTCACTCCCAGTTTTAAAATCTCCAATTTTATAATGTAAACTAGCCAAAAAATTAAGCCAGATATACAAAACTTCAGTTGGCATTTCCTTTAGAAGACTATATATATTTCTTCTATCTCATGAAGACTTTTATATTTAGATTGATTGTGACTGAGAATACGAACTACTAAAAATCTAGGATTCCTATCTCAGAAGCCTGCATTTCCAGGAGGAAAGTCCTCAATATACATGCTGATGCAGTGTCTGCGTAAGAAAAGGATGTGGATAGACTAAAGATCTGGACCAATTGGAGCTAGATGAACAATATTACATACATGCAAAAGTTGCATTTATTTAAGGCGAGATACAAGTAAATTTTCGGCGAGATACAAATACAAACAGAAAAGCTAGCTGTTTCAGTGGTGGAAATTTTTGCTTTGTTATTGAATATTTGCTGATGTATAACTTGTCCTTCAGGTTTTTATGTCACCTATGAATTATCTACTTAATAGCTCTCTTACCAAATTACTCTGCATTTTTGAAAAAAAAATTACATACATTAAAATTTATTCTTTTTGGTTTACTGGCCTATGAGTTTTAATACATGCATGGTTAGGTGTAATCACCATCATGATTGGGATGCAGACTAGTTCTGTCACCCCAAATAACTTTCCTTTCCAAGAAGTAAAAACCATCTAAATGTCCTTTAATAGGTGGGTGGATATACTATGCAAGTATAAAATTTACTTTCAATTAAGTCACTTATTATCTCACCAGTACCTTCATATTTCTTGCTACCTTTTCTTTTCTACTAACCACTTTAAACAATTCTAGCCCTAGATCAATCCAGCCATCTGCCTATTCTGCTCCTGTACCTGGAGTGCAGAAGACTTCTAAAGGAAAATCCACAGCTGAGTGTACAGGTGATACTACTGCTAAAAGCCTTTAATTTTAGCTCCTAAATAGCTATTACTTTTTTCACTTTTTTCCATTTCTGCTGTCCATCTCATATTTGGACTGTGATCACATCTAACCTGGACACTGCACGATACTGCTAACTGATCTTTTTCTCTTCAGCACTGTCCAGGCCAAACATTCTTCTTCATATCTCCTCACTCTGCAGCACCCCACCTTGTAATAGTCACTGGAGTAATTTTAGAGAATGCAAAACTGACGTTTGCACTCCACTGCTTCAATGTCTTGCCAGAACCTCTGAAGTCATAATGTTCCAGTCACGTAGCATGTCCCACCAGACTCTTTACAGTCTAATGTCTGCAATCTTTTTTAAGCCTCCTCTTTGCTGAGCATACAATACTCCAACAATACAATAATAGATTATGTGAAGTTTCTATACAGCACAATGCCACCTTGAAACTCCTAGTCTTTGTCTGTGTTATTATCTACAAGCAAAATCAGCTCCAGGCTTTCTTCAACAATATCTACCTGTCCTCCAAAATTCAGCTCAATAGTAGCTTTCTGCATATTCCCCACATTCCTCCTGCCTTAATTAAGTGCATCTCTTGTGTGTCCTGCAGCTTTTCTTTTTTTTTGCATTCTCTATTTGTTCTTAGAGCAACAAATAGTTATTTTTAGCTTGTTCATCTATCTATGCCAATAAATTATAAATTTTTGTTGTTGTAGAGATAATATCTTACATTTCTGTATCCCTTTGTACCTAGTAAGTGTATTAGACAAAATAAGTATTTAAATTCATATTTTTTAACTAAATCTTCAACATAAAACAATTTTAAAGTGAATAATAAATTCAAACTATTATTCAGTTTCCATATAAGGAAATCAATATTGCACATGTAAATGTATACTTTTTGTAGATTACATTTAAAATAAGAGCTACATATAATATATTAAGACCATATTTTTAGAATAAATCAAATTTATCTGAAAGCATCCATTAATTTTTCCCATTGATAAACATTGAATAATATAATTTCTAACTCTTAAGTTTAAAACATTATCTTTACAGATAATGGCATTTTATAAAAATGAAATGATTTTTAGTAATCCAATTTTTCTTGATGTTGTCAATCAGGTCTTGAAGAAGACAGTCTATGCATGTTGACAATCACTTGTATGAAAGGTCTGATGATTGAAATGATTTGTATAAGTCCTAATAAGTTCTGAAAAATCTAGTGAATTTTAGTTTCTTTTCTTTGACTTGTACTTTCACATTTATTTTGTTTTTGTGTCCTATATTTTATGATTTATTGATGGAAATCACTGCTTTGCTTTGCAAACTTAGTTTTCTTCAAGTTTATACCACATATAGTCAAGACGTTTTTACCATATATATATATAAATAAAATAAGGAGAGTTTTCAACGATCACATTTTCCTCAAAAACAATACTAATACGTATTGTGTTGTGAACAATCAAAGGCAGCCAGAATGCCTATTAAAATTTGATCAAGTTGTAGGTCTTTCAGACAGTTCTTTGTGTATAACTGTATCTGAAAAAGCATTTGTAAGTTCTGCAGGCTTGTTTTTGTTTTCTTGTTCATATCAGCTACTTCATGCAATATTCAAGTCTCCCAATTTCTCTTTTTAAGGTAGTCTAGCAACCAGGCTTATATCTACAAACAGCTTTACATTTTCTGCCAGCATATTTTCTGAATTATAAATCACCATTAACAAATCTGGCTTTTAGATTCTCTGAGATATTATAAGCCCCACTGCATATTCTGGTTGTTTGTTTCCTCCACATGCAGGCCACATCCTAAGAGATACTGGAAGAAAAGTTATGTTATCCCTCTCTATTCTCATTCCACACACACTTTAGCTTAACAAGCACAACATGTTTAAGAAAGAAAATATAAAATTGCCTTCATCTGCTCCCAAGCTATTTGTGAACAATCTAGAAGATATTTAAATATAAAGCAGTATTGAAAGAACTGTTTTTCTTAAAAAAGAGTAACACACATCAGCTTCAGAAAATGTGTTTTTCCATAGCACAATGTGAGAAATAGGCAAATTTGAGGATAGTAAAAAAGAAAAACACTTTCTTCCTTATTCTGAGTATGTCTTTTATGCCAAAGGGAATCTTCGTTATCTAGGGGACTATTGATGGATTCACTTAAAGGACAACCCTTCATCGGCTAACTTAATTCAACAAATGCTCTCCGAGTTAAGATGTGGAATTACATCGTGTCACTCCAAAACATTTATTTACTTTTGATAAAAGCAGATCTAGTCATCACTGTCTTCTAATTTTTGACTATGAAATTGTAAAATTCTCCATAAGAGCAATCCTTCATTTTACTATATTTCTCCTTGCATATTTTTATATAATCAAGATTATTGTGAGGATGAATCCTCCTCATGACTAATGGTGGAGACTTAAAGGGGAAAAAAAATTAAAACTTGGCTGGTAGATTCAAGTGTTCATGTAAGTGACCAGATGAGGAAGTTTTGGGGTCATGTTGTCTGAGTTCTGCATCTGTGAGAGATGGTAAGGCCAATTATAGCAGATCCCAGATGCTATAGGCTCTATGTAGTTGCAAACGTTGCTTGCAGTACAAAAGTACCTCAAACCTTCTTTGGGACGAGGGTGAAAGATACTCCTTAAGCTTCTTCCCTTTTTAAACCAAAAAATATCTGAGTCATGTCTCAATCAGTTTACACGTTTATTTTGCCAAGGTTGAGGACCATTTTCCATGACACAGCCTCAAGAGGTCCTGAGAACATGTGCCCAAGGTGGCTGGGTTACAGCTTGCTTTTGTACATTTTAGGAAGATAGAAGTTACAGGCAAAGACATAAATCAATACATGGAAGGTGGACATTGGTTCAGCCTGGAAAGGTAGCATATCTCAAATTCAGGGCTTCCAGGTCACAGGTGGATTCTCATTCTGTCTCCCAGGCTGGAGTGCAGTGGCACAATCTCAGTTCACTGCCACCTCTGCCTCCTGGGCTCAAGAATCCTCCCACCTCAACCTCCTAAGTAGCTGGGACTAAAGGTGTGCCATCATGCCAGGCTAATTTTTGTATTTTTTTGTGGAAATGGGGTTTCATCATATTGCCCAGACTGTTCTCAAACTCCTGGGCTCAAGTAATCCTCCACCTGCATCAGCCTTCCAAAGCGTTAAGATTACAGGCGGGAGCCAATGTACCCAGCCATACATTATAATTTTTTAACATTTCCAGTGCTCTTCACTCATTTCTAAAGATCTATGTGTCTATCTGGCATACTTTTTCCAACCAAAAACACCTTCATTTGCCATTTTTCTTACTGTAAAGTTTTGGCAAAAACAAACTCTCTTAGCTTTTTTTCTCTGAATTTAATTTTTGTAGATTTTTTTTTCCTTTCAGTCTTTTAGAGTTATTTCACTATCTACTGTCCTTCATAGTTTCTTATGAGAAAGTAGCTATTAATCAAATATTTGTTCCTTCATATGTATGGCCTTTCTTTCTTTCTTTCTTTTCTTTCTTTCTTTCTTTCTTTTTCTTTCTTTTCTTTCTCTTGTTTGTTTACATTTTAAATTTAGATTTGCTTATCTTTGGCTTTAAACAGTTGGACTATGATATACCTTGGCATGGATTTCTTTGTTTTATTTTTCTTGGTGTTTGCTGAGCCTCTTGGATTTCTAAAACTTATGTGTTATATCATATTTTAAGAAAATCCACCCTTATTTCTTTAAATATTGTTTCTTTTTCCCATTTTCTCTCTCTATTCATGGAACTCTAAGTGCATGTATTCTAGACTGATATTATCTAACAGGTCTCTGAGTTTATGCTCACTTATTTCCTCTTTTTTTTTTCTTTATGTGTAACAACATCTTGTTATCTACCCTCAAGTTCTCTTCATCTTGTCTTCCTTTCTTTCTTATTTTCATTATTTTGTTAAGGCTTTTTTTTTTCCTTTTGAGAATATTTTCTATTTTCTTGCCTGTTTGTTGGATAATGCTGGATTGTATGATGAACATTAAAAATATGTGGGCATTTGATATTTTATTATCTTTAAATAATGTCGGTTATATTGTTTGGACAGGAAAGGGGCAGCTCAAATCTCAGTTCAGATTCTTTCTCTTTAGCTGACCTCTTTTGTCTGCATCACACATACATAGGTCATAGATTAGTCATAAATATGGGTAGAAAGAATTATGGACCCCATTTTTGGCTCTTTCCCTTCTAGAATTTCTTTTTTTTTTTTTTTTTAGTGGAGTTTCACTCTTGTTGCCCAGGCTGGAGTGTAGTGGTGTGATCTAGGCAGGTTCAAGTGATTCTCCTGCCTGACTCCAGAGTAGCTGGGATTACAGGCACCTGCCACCACGCCTGGCTGATTTTTATATTTTTAGTAGAGACGGGGTTTCACCATGTTGGCCAGGCTGGTCTCGAACTCCTGACCTCAGGTGATCCGCCTGCCTTGGCCTCCCAAAGTCCTGAGATTACAGGCGTGAGCCACCGCACCTGGCCTCACCATTGTCTTGTCTCTGTAGTTTCTTCACCTCCAGTTTTCTTGTTCCATAGACCAGAAAGACATTTATTCACTGGTGTCCTACACAGACCTACAACCCATGACAGCTCTGTCTGTCCTCAGGCTAGAAGACAAAAAATGAGAATTCACTTCATAAAATTTTTCTTTTCAAAGCATAGACTCCCAACCAGGTTGACCTCCTCCTGCTCACTTTTCAAGGAATTTTTGGTAACTCTTCTGTGTATTGTGTCCAAAGTTTATAAGTACTATCAATAAGAGGACCAATCTCATAAGAACTTAATGTATTATTACCAGAAGATAATGACATATTTATTTTGTAATTTCTCTTTTAATATAACACTAAAAATGATGTGAATCTCTCTCTCAATTGATAATGACCCATTTCTCCACATCTCACTATGATATGGCTTTCCTTGATCACATGACATTCATTGATTTCGTCATTAGTCTAATAAGTGAGAACTGCAAGAAGATAGATTTTAACTAAATATATTTTATACCTACAAAAGATTCTATACTCTCAAAATATGAAATGAACTGCCTTGGAAGGCATTATGTTTATTCATATCTGTATTATTCAAAAACATTTACTGAGTGTGTATTATGAGGATGACACAGTGTTTAAGCAGAAATTAACCTTAAAATGTGAAAATATACATAGGATACGTTTGATTATCAACAATATAATCTAACAAGGCACTCTATTATCTATAAGCAATCCTGAAAATTTGTAAATGAAAGAAAAATCAAGTTAAAACTCCACAGTTCTCCAAGATTTTTCATTCATTATAAGTAATCTTGGCCAAACATTGAGGTGCTAGTCCTTTACAACACTTATAAAAATCAACCTCATTCATGGATTTTGTGAAGTTTGTTGAAATACTGTAATAGTGAGAGATTGGTTTACATCTAGGGTGATATTTGCTGGGTCTGGAAAGTTAAAGTGAGAATGATCTGATTGGTTAATTTCTATGACATGGATCTAAACTAAAATAAGATGCATACTTAATGATAGAAACTTATGATATAATGCCCTTATCTAAACATTATGTGCCAAGTGCCTTTAACATTCTGTGATATTTTAATTTTGTATAATTTGTATGAAAAATATGTTGGACATAAGAATGTTTTATATATATATATATATATATATATATACACATAAATACACACACACACATATATGTATATGTTTGCTTATGTTATTTGTTAATGAGTGCTTTTACCTACACATAATAGAGAATGCACTACCTCAGTGTTTTCTATGTTTTATAAATCATATTCAATTATAAGAAGAATGGTTTTAGTAAAAAAATCAACATAACGATTTAGGTTCTATGATTAAAATGTGATCAAGTTAGCAATTAGTCCTTAAATATAAGCTAACATACACAAAAATAAAACAAATAATAGACTTTAGAATATTTTTGTTACAATGTTCTTAACATGCTTAGTATAAACATTTTAAAAAATGAAGAATATGATGTAAAATGTAAATATATATTTCCCTTATTCTAAATTGCACTTCCTAGATGAAACCACTACTAGCAATATTGTTGTATATTATTATGGACTCTTTTGATATATAAAGTCATATTTGTTTTAAAGAAAAATAATTCAGTTTATAGTTTTTAATTAGTTATTAATTCAGTAATATTTATCTAGTCTGTTTTAATATCAATTTATTTATTTTAATTGTGGCATGGTATTTTTTTCTTTTTACTTCTAATTTTTTCCCTTTTAGAGCAATGTTTAGTAAATATAACTGCATATTTACCTTTGCATATTTATGCATTTCTGTAGAAATGCTACAGCAAAGTATAAATGTTTTAAACATTTTGATACATAGTGCCAAGTTTTACTTCCAAATATTCTATTAAATTACTTCCCCACAAAGTGTGCATGCTAAATACATTAACTCACAGAATTTTAGAAACATAAGCTATTATCAGTTCATTTAAAATCTCCTAACTTATAGATGAAATGATATCTTAGATGAGATTGGGTGCATTTGATTTGGGGTGATAAGGCCATAGACCAAACTTGTTATTTCATTGTAATTTTGTGTCCGTGTGTGTATGTGTTCATTTTTATTTATTTTTTTATTTCAATAGTTTTTGGGGCACAGATGTTGTTTGCTTACATAGATAAGTTCCTTAGTGGTGATTTCTGAGAGTTTGATGCACCCATCATCTAAGCAGTGTACACTGTACCTAATATGTAGTCTTTTATCCCTCGCCCGCTCCTACCCTTGCCCCCAAGTACCAAAAGTTCATAATATCATTCTAATGCCCTTGCATCCTCATAGCTTAGCCCCCACTTGTGACTGAAATCACAGGATATTTGTTTTTCCATTCCTGAGTTATTACACTTAGAATAGTGGTCTCCAACTCCATCCAGGTTGCTGTGAATGCCATTATTTCATTTATTTTTATGGCAAAGTAGTATTCCATGTTGCATATGTATACCACATTTCCTTTATCCACTTGCTAGTTGATGGGCATTTAGGCTGATTCCATATTTTTGCAATTGCAAATTGTGCTGCTATAAACATGTGGATACAAGTGTCTTTTTCATATAATCACTTTTTTTCTTCTGGGTAGATACACAGTAGTGGGGTTGCTGGATCAAATGGCAGTTCTACTTTTAGTTCTTTAAGGAATCCCCATACTGTTTGCTGTAGTGGCGGTACTAGTTTACATTCCCACCAGTATTGTAAAAGTATTCCCTTTTAATCACATCCATGCCAACAGCTATTATTTTTTTATTTTTAAATTATGGCCATTATTGCAGGTGTAAGGTGATATCTTATGGTGCTTTTGATTTGCATTTACTGATCATTAGTGATGTTCAGCAATTTTTATATGTTTGTTGGCCATTTGTATGTCTTCTTTTGAGAAATCCCTATTCATGCTCTTTGCCCAATTTTGAAGGGGTTATTTGTTTTTTTCTTGATGATTTGTTTGAGTTCCTTGTAGATTCTGGATATTAGTACTTCGTTGCATAATTTGTGAATATACTCCCCCCCTCTGTGGGATGTTTGTATACTCTGCTGATCATTTATTTTGCTGTACATAAGCTTTTTAGTTTAATCAATTCTCATCTATTTATCTTTGCTTTTGTTGCATTTGCTTTTGGGTTCTTCGTCATAAATTCTTTTCATAAGCCAACATCTAGAAGAGTTTTTCTGATGTTGTCCTCTAGAACTTTTATGGCTTCAGGTCTTAGATTTAAGTCTTTGATCCATCTCTAGTTGATTTTTGCATAAGGTGAGAGAGGAGGATCCAGTTTCATTCTTCTACATGTGGTTTGACAATTATCCCAGCACCATTTGTTGAATAGGGTGCCCTTTCCCCACTTTACGTTTTTGTTTGCTTTGTCAAAGATCAGTTGGCTATTAGTATTTGGCTTTATTTCTGGGTTCCCTATTCTGTTTTAATTGTCTATGTGCCTGTTTTTATACCAGTACCTTGCTGTTTTGGTAACTATAGCCTTATAGTATAGTTTGAAGTCACATAATGTCATGCCTCCAGATTTGTTCTTTTTACTTAGTCTTGCTGTTGTCATACAGGCTTTTTTTGTTCCATATTAACTTTAGGATTTTTTTTTTTAGTTCTGTGAAGAATGCTGGTGGTATTTTGATGGGAACTGCATTGAATTTGGGGATTACTTTTGGCAGTATGTTTATTTTCACAATATTGATTGTACCCATCCATGAGTGTGGGATGTGTTTCTATTTGTTTGTGTTGTCTATGATTTCTTTCAGCAGTGCTTTGTAGTTTTCCTCGTAGAGGTCTTTCCCGCCTGGGTTAGGTATATTTCTAAGTATTTATTTATTTTTTTTAGCTGTCATAAAAGTGATTGAGTTCTTGATTTGATTCTCAGTGTGGTCACTGTTGGTGTATAGCAGTGCTACTGATTTGTGTACATTTATATTGTATCCTTGGCCCAGGCTACATACTTCCCTGCTGATAAAGCAAGCAAGTTTCTAGGCCTCACCCCTTCCAGCCTGCCCACATTTTCAGCCACAGCTCCTGCACTCCTTTCGGTAGCAGTTCTTGTTCACCCCTTGGATTCTGCTCAAAAGAGTTTGCACCTTGTTGAATTTATTACAAAATTTAGTTGGAAACTTCTTTCACCCTGTAACCATTTCCAAATTCCATCGGCTGCCTTCCCCAAAGATACTTGTGAGATATAGTCAGAGATGGCTTCCCTGGGCTCAAGCTGGAAATGGGAGTGCCTACAGGGCTCTTCTTGCTGTTGCTTCTACTTTCATATTTCACACTAAATCCATTTCGGCTTTAGGTAAGGTTAAATCCTCCTGTAATCTGGATTTTCAGGTTCCCAGTGGGGATGTGTTTTGGAGGTAGGTTTTCCCCCTTTTATAGTTTGGGAACTCAAAGTTTTTTGCCTGTCTCACAGAATTTTCAGCAGTGTGCCACTTCTTTCAAAGGATCTGTGAATGCATTGTATGTTTTTAAGCATTCAATATATTATGAATATTTTATATTAATTGAGTAGCTGTATTTCTTCTGTGAATTGCATGTTTATATCTTTTTCCCATTTCCAGATTTTTGGTTTTTATTTTTTTCTCTTTTTTTTGAGACAGGGTCTTGCTCTGTCACCTAGGCTGGAGTGGAGTGGTGAGGTCATAGCTCATAGCTCACTGCAGCCTCAACCTCCTTAGCTGAAGCAATCCTCCCACCTCGGCTTCCCAAGCAGCTGGGACTACGGCAAGTGCCACTTCACCTGGATAATTTTATTTATTTATTTATTGTTGAGACATGGTCTCACTAAGTTGCCCAGGCTGGTCTTGAACTTCTGGGCTCAAGCAATCCTCCCGCCTTCGGCCTCCCAAAGTGTTAGAATTACAGGCATGAGCCACGACACCTGGCCTATTATTAATTTTTATAGATTTATGTAAGCAAGGATGTTACCCATTTCTCTATTATTTACATGATATTATCTATTTTTGAATTTATGTTTTTATTTTTTGTTTACTTTCCGTACATTTTAAGCTTTAGTAATCATCCAATCTATCAATTTTTTAAAAATAATTTCTGAGTGCTGTATCATGGTGAGAAAGGTATTCTCCAAACTATCATTATTGGAAAAAAATTGACCATATTTTCTGCAATTGCTTTTATGACATCAGTTTTATATTTATATGGTTAATCTATATCAATTAAGTTTTGTTTAATTGTGGTGAGTAAGTATAGTGGGCAGTATGGCTCCTCCTAAGATGCCCATGCCACAATCCCTGGAACCTATTATTATGTTAGGTTATATGGCAGAAAGGATTTTGCAGATGTAATTAACGTTACAAACCTTAGGATAGGAAAAGTGTCTGGATCATTAGATAGGGCCAATCTACCATCCAGGAGGTAGGGATGGCCCCCATCAGGCAGCCAGCAAGAAAATTCTACCTCAGTCCTAAAGGGGCAAGAAACTATATTCTGCCACTTATCTGAATGTGCTTGGAAGCAGATAATTCCCAGGGACTCCCAGTAAGATCCCAGCAGGCTAACACCTTGATTTCTCTGTTGTAAGACCCAAAGCTGTTAACCTAGCTGAGCCTGCCAGATTTCTGATCTATAGAAATAAAGAAATGTGAGATAAAACATAGATGTTGTTTTGAGCTACTAAATTTGTAGTGATTTCTTATGGCAACAATGAAAATTAAGATGATATGTTTAATTTTTTTCTTATCCATATAGGGAAAAAAAAATCCCAAAACTGCATTAATTAGGGTTTCCCTGTTTTATTTTAAATATGATGTATTACACTTTTTGATGGAAAAGAAAACTTCAGCCAAAGCCATCTTGGAGTAAGATGTGAAGTTAAGTTCTGAGCCCACATACTGAATATAATTATGAAATGATAGTAAAGGAATTGTGACTGGAAAGTAATGTCTATATAATATTCATACATCTTTTTGTTCTTTTGTCATCAGTGCATATAAAATCCTTCACACCTGATGCCGCAGATGCTTAATAGGCAAGCAACTCTCCCCAACTGAAGCGATGCTGTACAAAACAGAAGGGCTAACACAAATCAGGGTTTGAAGTGTATTGAAGTAAAATCTATTCTCCAATTAACAAGCAATGTTGCGTTTAAATACATAAATGAATTATAAAATTATAAAATTTTGACAAACATTCTGAGAAGGATGTATTTGTAGACACTTGGGAAATCATCATGCCATTTTTAGGCTGAAGAAAATGACTGATTTATGTGTATTGTATAACCATTATTTTTTGTATAAAACAAAATAATCTAGAAATAATTTTTGCTCAAATAGAAACAATAATGATGTCACTAATAAAATGTTCGTAAGTTGTGTCTTAGAAACCAAATATTTCAATCTTTGATACACATTAAGCAAATGATTTCTTTAAACCATAGAGTCATTGAAAATTTAATGAGTGTCATGAAATTCCAACCTTACACATGTCAAATAGTTTTGTGGAATAAGAAGTAGAAATGAGTAATTAAATACATGCATATAAACTAGGTCACCCTCTCATAAGACCTGATCTTTATAGGCTGACAATTGTATATAAGAATATGAATATACTGGTAGAATTCTGATTCAAGTTTTAACTAACTTCTGTGTATCTCATACACTCTTTCCAGTTTAAAGCATTCATGTCCTATTAATTCAGGTACATTGCCTCTTCAGAGTGCTCAAATAGACTTTGCTGAATAAATACTTATTATAAAGAAAAGCTTTTCAACCCACCCACTTATTGTCATAAAGGCAGAAATAGTTATTTAACTGGATTTGCCTTTTTTAACCAATTATGTTTTGTAAAAGTTATGAACATATACCGTAATTTTACTTTTATTATTTGTTTGCCAATGCCATTGTAGTTGAACATCTTTCTTGTCTCCTTCAAAAGTGAGATGTGAAATTTCTCTCAACTTGAGATTAAAGGCATCAAAGTAACCTGATGTTTAAAGATTTCTTTCTTTGGATTTGAACAAAGTCTGTTCTATTCCTTAAAAAAGAATTCTCAATGATGCCAAACCTTTTTCTGTATTCAAACTTGTGCTGAGGATGACATTGGTTCTGTGAAATAAATTCCCAGCTTTCATATATGACAGCTAGTTTAATGCAGAGCAAAACAACTACCATCATTCACATTTTGTTCCTAAGTGTAGTGGTAAAAATGTTCAGTGACAAAACCATATTAGAGAAATATACAATTTTATTGATGGATATTACAGAGGATATTAAAGAAATATATGCATCTATTTCTCACCTAAAATTAGACCTTTTTTAAAAAACTTACTTTGTTGCATTTTACCTAATTCTCATATACTCTTATTAATAGCTCAGACACTTTTCATGCATAAAAAAATCCATTTAATTTCTAAATGAAGGGAAGAACAGTTAAAAGAGTAGTCAAACATGGCAGGATATTGTTAAAAAGCTATCATATTTTCAGATACATCTGCCACTGTCGAGGGAGCAATGTCCTGCAAGATAAGCAAATTACTAAAGGTATGTGATAACCAGCAAAAAGAGACATTTAAAATGAAATTTTTAATTAGTTTTATAGACAGAGCTAAGTCACTTTCTCTTATATGAAGTAGATTTTAAAACATAATTATCCATGAAAATATGATTATTTAAAAATATTTTATGCACTTTCTTAATCATCTCCAAATATTTTATTATTTTTCCATGAATATTCTATGAAGTACTAAAGAATATTGCAATGTAGAGATCTTTCAAAATTCTGAGGCTCACAAATATATTGTAATGCATAAGATTTAACTGAGAGAAAGCAGAAGCAAAATTATAATATTTGTATAGTTAACACAATATTTCAAAATATATTAATTATATTTTAAGTTATATAAATGGAAAAAGGAATATTTTTTTATTTGAACATCTTAAGAGCTGCTTAAAATTATTCCCTCAAAAGCATAGATTTAAACATTTTATTCTGCCACTGATTAATCTTTAATGATATCTCAGTTATGACCAACAGTAACAGAAGAGCTATTTTAACAGATTCTACAGTAAACTCGGCAATGCTTGTAGGCTGGAAGTATGCAGCTCAGCCTTCATGGCTTATAGACTATTGCATTGTGGCTGCAGCAAAATTAGTATCTGCTTCCTAATGTGCCTACCTCTGTTGTTTAGACAACACTGATGAATTTGCTTCATCTGCAGAGCCTAAAAAGATAATTAAGTCTTTTATGTCCCTAGTGTCTCAGTGAAGTAATTCTGTCAGTATAGGATTATACTTCTTTTTACTGTTACAGAATTGCATGTTTACACTTAATCTTAAACGACAGGCTGAGCAGAAAGTTAGAAAACAGAGGAAGGTTGGTGAGATTGTGTACAATTGCTGGAATTCATTAGACATCGAGGCTTCATAATTTATATTTTGCTGTAAATTACGAATTTGTACATTTGTCTCATCATGTTATAAGTCAAGATTGGACTCAAAACAGAATCACGGGAAAGAAAAATGTCTAAGTATCAAAAATATAACCTATCAGTGTTAGGGCATTATTACTAACTGCAGTGAAACATATGGTTTTTATAAGATAACTGTGTTAAACATGCTATGTGCAACTTAAGTCTTTAACAAGGTCTCCTTATCTTTTACTCCACCTATCCTGTATTCTCTCTTGGAGCTCTGATGAATGAAAAAGAGATTTATTAATATATACATTAACATTAATGCACAGCTAACTCAGTCATTAGTGTCATAGCTCAGGTTTTTGAAGAATTCAAGTGTAGCATCTTATCATGTTACCCAAATGAAGAGTAGAACAGAGCTATGCCAGCAGCAATTCTGATTATTTGGCTGTAAGAGTAGTTTTGTCACACATCTTTTGAAAGGTACTTAAAATGGTAAACCAACCTTTTCATCAATATCAAGCTTTCATGGATAGCATATTGTTTTGTAAGTTACCTTTTCCTGGTTTGATAATTAGAAAATGCTATTGAAGGTATACTTTTCCTTAGAATAATCACATTTGGCATAGATTATCTTCCTGTCATTTCTTGAAAAGATTGACATGCCCTAATTTTACAAATAAAATTGTTTCATGTGTAATTCCAAAAGCTTTTACAATATAGCATAATTAAATAATAATTAGCTTATTGGTAATATGATCCTGATAAAAATATTTACATCAGTATAAAATGTGTAGACCTTGCAATAGAACTAAGACTTAGAAAATGTATTTTAAATTGGTGCTTATCTTTGTGCTTATTGAAACACTTATAAACTGATATGCAGTTAGCACCTGATAGTCTTCTACAGCAAATTTAAATTTTACATTTTCACAGATATAAACTGATTAGAAGGAATGTTAAGCTAGATCTGAATTTCTGTAAAGCAAGATAAGTATATATGGATATGTGTGTATAAATATTATATCTCTATAGGATTTATTATATTTGTAAATGTATCTCTTTGTCAGTAAATTGAGGATATTAAGTACCTACTATATGCTAAGCACTGTTCTGATACAAAGGACATATTAGGATCAAAGATGCAAATTCCCCAGCCTCATGGAGCTTAAATTTTAGTGGCAAAGTCAGAAAATAACCAAACAAATAATAGTATCATATCAGGTAGTGATAAGTCATATAAAACAATTAAATAAAAGGAATAAGTAAAGAATAAAAATGGCCATATTGTAGATAGGAAGTCTGTAGAAGGCTTCTATGAAGAGGTAATATTTGTATAGAGACTTCAGTAAAGTGAGGAAATTATACATAAGATAAAACAAATAAGAAACCAACCTACCACAGGGTTAGCCTGCACAATTCATGTTAATCTGCTTTGTCCATGATGGTTGATATGTATATAAGTGATGTCAAATATTTTATTCCCTTAGGAGGTTTAACTATTGTCTCTGCAATCTTGTTTGTGTATTCAAATTGTTGTAGGTTCTTTGTAATGATTAACAGAAGTCAAAAGAGAAGAAAAAGAAAACAAAACACAACCTAACATGTAATTAAATACTGTTTTCATTTAAATGCTTTTTATTTATCCTATATCAGATTATGGAAGCTTAAAGGAACCTTCAGGAATTTAGAGATTATTCTCTAGTCCACTCCCCCTCCTTTCATAGATGGTAGCTCAGGTAAATATGCGTGGTGTGTGTGTGTGTGTGTATGTGTGTGTGTGTGTGTGTGTGTGTGCTTGCCCATGTTTGAAAAAGAATACTACTTATTCTGGTCAATCTTTCCTTTTGATACTGCACATCATGAAATTTATCTTAGTTTGCAGAATTGCTCTGAAATATAATTCAGTTTCTGTTTGTGGTTCTACAACGTTCCCACACTAATTAAAGAATAATCTCTTTTAGCAAAAGCCCAAACCTCCTTACTGTGATGAGTGCTTATTGGAAGCAGCATGTTATCTTTCACTCGGATAAATTGAATCCTTTGTCTAAATGGTAGATATCCATGTTATAAGATCAGAAGTCGGCTTTCAAAGGGATTTTTAATATATTTTTAATTGTTGTGGGTACACATCAGGGATATATATTTATGGGGTACATGAGATGTTTTGATAGAAGCATGCAATGTGAAATAAGCATATCGTGGAGAATTTTGTTTCTTCTTATTTTCCTAGGAATATATTCTTCCTTGAGAGATGTCTCAGTTTTCCTAGTTATAAAGAGTTATTTTGTAAAAGGTTCCTATAGCATTACCATGTGACCTCATATGATAAGCAAAATTTCTAAAATGATCTCCCAGGGATGTCTCACCTTAATCCTCAGAACCTGACACAATGATGAGATGTGACTCTTTTGAAAATGTTATATTACATGGCATAGTGGATCCTAAAAAGAGAGCACTTATCCTAAATAATTTGGTTTGCCCCATGGAATCACATGAACCCTTAAAAGAAGACAGCTTTGTCAGGCTGGTGGCAGAAAAAAAGAAAACCAGAAAGATTTAAAGTTGTAATGAGATTCAGCACACGATTTCCAGTTTGAGGAAGGAGGTGGCCACATGAGAAGAAATGTGAGCAATCTTAAGAAGCTAAGAGAGCTCCCTGGCTGGCTGCCAGCAAGAAAAAAGGGCGTCCGTCATATGACCACAAGACACTGAATTTTGCCAACAACTAGAATGAATTTGGAAGTGGTTTTCCCCCAGAGCCTCCATATAAGAGCCCTTATGTAATTTTACTTTGATTTCCACCCCTTGAAATGTACACCTTAATTTCAACCATGTAATACTTTCAGCACAGAAGTAAGCTGTGCTGTACTAGACTTAGGACCTAGAGAACTGTGAGCTAATAAATATGTATTGTTTTTAGCTACTAAATTTGTAGTAATTTGTTACACAGGAAATGAAAACAAATATATTTTTCAAAGCGTAGTTGCCTTGCACCAAAATCAATATATATTCTAGAAGAAAATCAAAACAAATATTTGTGGAGGAAACACTGTGTACTAGATGCTCTCAAGTAGAGATTTCAAATTTCCATACATAACCATATTATTTTGGTTTAGTTATGTTCAGACGGTGAGAAGCATTAATAATGCTGTAGCTGATAGAACTGTAGCCATTAATAATGGCTGTAGCTGATAGAACTATTGGGGTTGCAGTCAGAATCATTTTTAGAAGTTATCCATTTGAAATGTACAATAATCTCTTTGGTGATACTTCTGTTTTTTAAATGTTAGCAGTTACTTTGGTTTGCTTTGCTTCTGCTAACCACTTACAATTGCTATTAGGTTAACTACTTAACTTATTGTGAAAAAGAATGGCTTCTTTTAAAGTATTTATAAAGGTGGAATGCACCTAGAAACATAACTTTACCCTTGGACAATATACAGCTATTTCTAAAAATATTGGGTGAGAGGTATCTTCTGGGGTTATAGACTTCCTGCATCAACTATTTAGAGGGACTGAGTTAGATAACTTATGTTTATGAAGGTTCATTTATAATATTATTTAAATAGTTTTTGGGAAACAGGTAGTGTTTGGTTACATGGATAAGTTTTTAGTGGTGATTTCTGTGATTTTGGTGCACCCATCACCCAAGCAGTGTACACTGAACCCAATGTGTACCCTTTTATCTCTCACCCCCTCCCACCTTCCCCCTTGAGTCCACAGAGTCCATTACATCATTCTTATTCATTTGCATCCTCATAGCATAGCTCCCACTTCTAAGTGAGAACATCCTGTGTTTGGTTTATAATTATTGTGTTGCTTCAATTAGAATAATGAATAGAATAGAATAGAATAGAAGATGGATCGGGAAATCCATCTGGTCTTGAGCTTTTTTGGTTGGTAGATTATTTATTACTGCCTCAATTTCAGAACTTGTTATTAGTGTATTCAGGGATTCAGCTTCTTCCTGGTTCAGTCTTCGGAGGTGTATGTGTCCAGGAATATATCCATTTATTCTAGATTTTCTAGTTTATTTCCATAGAAACGTTTATAGTATTCACTAATGTTTGTTTCTATTTCTCTGGGGTCACTGGTGCTATCCCCTTTATCATTTTTTTATTGTGTCTATTGATTCTTCTTTTTCTTATTAGTTTAGCTAGTGGTCTGTGGGGAAAAGCAAGAGAGATCAGATTGTTACTGTGTCTGTGTAGAAAGAAGTAGACATAGGAGACTCCATTTTGTTCTGTACTAAGAAAAATTCTTCTGCCTTGAGATTCTGTTAATCTATAACCTTACCCCCAACCCCGTGCTCTCTGAAACATGTGCTGTGTCAACTCAGAGTTAAATGGATTAAGGGCGGTGCAAGATGTGCTTTGTTAAACAGATGCTTGAAGGCAGCATGCTCCTTAAGAGTCATCACCACTCCCTAATCTCAAGTACCCAGGACACAAAAACTGCGGAAGGCTGCAGGGACCTCTGCCTAGGAAAGCCAGGTATTGTCCAAGGTTTCTCCCCATGTGATAGTCTGAAATATGGCCTCGTGGGAAGGGAAAGACCTGACCATCCCCCAGCCCGACACCCGTAAAGGGTCTGTGCTGAGGAGGATTAGTATAAGAGGAAGGCATGCCTCTTGCAGTTGAGACAAGAGGAAGGCATCTGTCTCCTGCCCGTCCCTGGGCAATGGAATGTCTCAGTATAAAACCCGATTGTATGTTCCATCTACTCAGATAGGGAAAAACTGCCTTAGGGCTGGAGGTGGGACCTGCGGGCAGCAATACTGCTTTGTAAAGCATTAAGATGTTTATGTGTATGCATATCTAAAAGCACAGCACTTAATCCTTTACCTTGTCTATGATGCAAAGACCTTTGTTCACGTGTTTGTCTGCTGACCCTCTCCCCACAATTGTCTTGTGACCCTGACATATCCCCCTCTTTGAGAAACACCCACGAATGATGAATAAATACTAAGGGAACTCAAAGGCTGGGGGGATCCTCCATATGCTGAATGCTGGTTCCCCAGGTCCCCTTATTTCTTTCTCTATACTTTGTCTCTGTGTCTTTTTCTTTTCCAAGTCTCTCGTTCCACCTTACGAGAAACACCCACAGGTGTGGAGGGGCAACCCACCCCTACAGTGGTCTACCTATTTTATTATTTTTTTCAAAAACTGTCTCCTGGATTTATTGATTTTTTGAAGTATTTTTCATATCTCTATCTCCTTCACTTCTGCTTTGATCTTGGTTATTTCTTGTCTTCTAGCTTTTGAGTTTGTTTGCTCTTGGTTCTCTAATTCTTTTAGTCATGATGTTAGGATGTCGATTTGAGATCTTTCTAGCTTTTTGATGTGGCATTTAGTGCTATAAATTTCCCTCTTAACACTGCTTTAGCTATGTCCCAGAGATTCTAGTATGGTGTCTCTTTGTTCTCATTTGTTTCAAGAAACTTCTTGATTTTTTTCCCTTAATTTTGTTGTTTACCCAGGAGTCATTCAGAAGTAGGTTGTTCAATTTCTATGTAGTTGTGTGGTTTTGTATGAGTTTCTTAATCCTGAGTTTTAATTTGATTGCGCTGTGGTTTGGGAGACTGTTTGTTATGATTTCAGTTCTTTTGCTCTTCCTAAGGAGTGTTTTACTTCTGATTATGTGGTCAATTTTGGAATAAGTGTCATAGGAGAATATAAATGCTGTTGATTTGGGGTTGAGATTTCTGTAGATGTCTATTAAGTCCACTTGATCCAGAGCTGATTTCAAGTCCTGAATATCGTTGTTAATCGTCTAATATTGGCAGTAGGGTGTTGAAGTCTCTCACTATTATTGTGTGGGAGTCTAAGCCTCATTGTAGGTCTGCAGGAACTTGTTTTATGAATCTGGGTGTTCCTGTATTGGGTGCATATTTATTTAGGATAGTTAGCTCTTCTTCTTAAATTGATGCTTTACCATTATGTGATGGACCTTCTTTGTCTTTTTTGATCTTTGTTGGTTTAAAGCCTATTTTGTCAGAAACTATGATTGCAACCCTTGCTTTTCCTTGTTTTTCATTTGCTTGGTAAAATTTCCTCCACCATTTTATTTTGAATCGGTGTGTGTCTTTTCATGTGAGATGGGTCTCTTGAATACAATACATCAAAGGATCTTGACTCTATCCAGTCTGCCATTCTGTGTTTTTTAATTGGGGCATTTAGTCCATTTACATTGAAGGCTAAATTTGTATGTGTGAATGTGATCCTGTCTTCGTAATGTTAGCTGGTTATTTTGCAGACTTGTTGATGTAGTTGTTTAGTAGTGTCATTGATCTGTGTACTTCATTGTGTTTTTGTAGTGGCTGGTAACAGTTTTTCTTTTCCATATTTAGTGCTTCCTTCAGGAGCGTTTGCAAAGCAAGCCTGGTGGTGCTGAATTCTGTCACCATTTGATTGTCTGAAAAAGATTTAATTTCTCCTTTGCTTATGAAGGTTAGTTTGGCCAGTGAAATTACAGGTTGTAAATTATTCCTTTTAAGAATGTTGAATATTGCCTCCCAATCTCTTCTGGTTAGTAAGGTATCTGCTGAGAGGTCCACTGTTAGAATGATGGGCTTCCATTTATAGGTGACCTGCCCTTTCTCTCTGGCTGCAGTTAACATTTTTTCCCTCATTTTGACCTTGGAGAATCTGAAGATTATGTGTCTTGGGGTTGATATTCTCATAGAATAGCTTATTGGGGTTCTCTGGATTTACTGAATTTGAATGTTGGCCTCTCATGCTAGGTTGGGAAAGTTCGCCTGGATGATATCCTAAAGTGTGTTTTCCAACTTGGCTTTGTTCTCCCTGTCTCTTTCAGTATCCCATAAATTGGAGGTTCAATCTTTTTACATAATCCCATAGTTCTCAGAGGTTTTGTTCATTCTTTTTAATTCTTTTTTTTCCTAATCTTTTCTGTCTGACTCATTTCAGCAAGACAGTCTTCAGGCTCTGATATCCTTTCTTCTGCTTGGTCTATTTGACTATTGATACTTGTGTTTTTATTGTGAAGTTCTCAGGTTCTGTCTTTCAGCTGTACCAGGTTATTTATAATCCTCTCTAAACTGGTTACTCTAGTTAACACCTCCTGTAATGTTTTATCAGGATTCTTATCTTCTTTGCGATGAGTTAGAATACATTCCTTTAGCTCAACAAATTTTGTTCTTATCCATCTTCTGGAGCCTACTTCTGTCACTATATCCATCTCAGCTTCAGCCCATTTCTGTGCCCTTGCTGGAGAAGTGTTGTGATCATTTGGAGGAGAAGAGGTTGTCCGGCTTTTTGAGTTTTCAGCATTTTTGCATTGATTATTTTTCATCTACATGGGTTTATCTATCTTTAATCTCTGAGGATGCTGAACTTTGGATAGAGTTTTTGTGGGGACTTGTTGTTGTTGTTGTTGTTGCTTCCTATTTGTTTTTCTTTTAGCAGTCAGGCCCCTCTACATAGGGCTTCTGTGTCTTGCTGGGAGTCCACTTCTTACCCTATATGTCTGGGTCCCTCCTGGAGGTACTATCGGTGGAGGCTGCAGAACAGCAAGGGTGGCAGCCTTCTTCTTCCTGTGGGAGTTCTGTCCCAGAGAGGCACTGACCTGATGTTAGCTGGAACACTCCTGTATGAGGTGTCTGGAGCTCCTGTTGAAAGGTCTCTCACCCAGTCAGAAGGAGTGGGATTAGGGACCCACTTAAGCAGTCTGGCTGCCTCTTGTCAGTGCAGGTGTGCTGCCCTGGGGAGGATTCCTATTGACTGGGTGTCCCTGATTCTCCAGAGCCAGCAGCCAGAAAAGATTAAGACAGCTGATCCACAATACCACAGCAGCCCCTCCTAATAGGGGCTGATATCTCAGGGATATCAGAGTTCTGTCCATAAATCCCTGGGTGGGAATGCTGAAATTCCCACAGGGAGGACTCTCTGCATGAGAAGGAGTGGATCCAGGTCTCACTTAAAGAAGCAGTCTGGCTACTAACTTCCCCAGCCACTGTACTGCACTGTAGAGTATTGCTCCCAAGCCAGAAAACCCAATTTCACTGGCATACAGCAGGGGAAAATGGCTGACTGCAGCCACAGTGATGGTGGCCGCCCCTTTCCTGCCAGAACTTAGTCTGCTTAGGCAGCCTTCAGCCTGCTGCGCTGACCAGTGTGGATGTCAAGCCAGTGATTTTAGCTTGTGGGGTTCTGTAAGCATGAGGCAGCTTGGCTCCCTGGCTTCAGTCCCCTTCCCTTGGGAGTGAACAAATTTTCTTCCTCATCGGAGTTCCTGGAACCAGGGTGTGCAAAAAATTCCTGTGTCTCAGTGCCTGTTCAAGTGGTTACCCACCTGAGCAACCCTCATGAGTCTGCACAGCTCTGTGCTTCAGACCACAGGCCTGGTGGCATGAGCTTATGTGGGGACCTCCTGGTCCACAGCTTCCGAAGACCCATGGGAAAAGCATGGTTTTTAGGAAGAGGTAGCACAGTCCTTCACCACTTCCCTTGGCTCAGGGGAGGAAGCACCCTTTGTCATGTGCAGCTCCCAGGTGGGCCCTCACTCCACCTAACTTTTCCTCACTCTCAGTGGGTTGCGCCAACTGCCTCATCAGTCACAATGAAAGAATCTTGGTACCTCAATTGAAGATGCAGAATTTATCCATGGTTTTCATCCTTTTCGTGAAAGCTGCAATGCAGAGTTGTTTCTTTCTTTTTATTGTTATTATTATACTTTAAGTTCTGGGGTACATGTGTGGAGCGTGCAGTTTTGTTACATAGGTATACATGTGCCATGATGGTTTGCTGCACCCATCAACCTGTCACTTACATTAGGTATATCTCCTAATGCTATCCCTCCCCTAGTCCCCCACCCATCGACAGGCCCCAGTGTGGGATGTTCCCCTCCTTAGATTGCAAAATTTTTTTCCCATTCTGTAGGCTGCCTGTTGACTCTGATGATAGTTTCTTTTGCTATGCAGAAGCTCTTTAGTTTAATTAGATCCTATTTGTCAATTTTGGCTTTTGTTGCCATTGCTTTTGGTGTTTTAGACATGAAGTCTTTACCCATTCTTATGTCCTGAATGTTATTGCCCAGGTTTTCTTCTAGGATTTTTATGGTTTTAGTATTTATATTTAAGTCTTTGCTCCATCTTGAGTTAATTTTTGTATAAGATATAAGGAAGGGGTCCAGTTTCAGCTTTCTGCATATGGCTAGTCAGTTTTCCCAACACCATTTATTAAACAGGGAATCTTTTTCCCATTGTTTGTTTGTGTCAGGTTTGTTGAAGATCAAATGGTTGTAGATGTGTGGTGTTATTTCTGAGGCCTATGTTCTGTTCCATTTGTCTGTATATTTCTTTTGTACCACTACTATGCTGTTTTCATTACTGTAACCTTGTAGTACAGTTTGAAGTCAGATAGTGTGATGCCTCCAGCTTTGTTCTTTTTGCTTAGGGTTGACTTGGATATGCAGGCTCTTTTTTTGGTTCCATATGAAGTTTAAAGTAGTTTTTTCCAATTCTGTGAAGAAAGTCAGTGTTATCTTGATGGGTAGAGCATTGATTCTATAAATTACTTTAGGCAGTATGCCCATTTTCACTATATTGATTCTTCCTTTTCATGAGAATGGAATGTTCTTCCATTTATTTGTGTCCTCTCTTCTTTCCTTGAGCAGTGGTTTGTAGTTCTCCTTGAAGAGGTTCTTCACATCCCTTGTAAGCTGTATTCCTAGGTATTTTTTTCTCTTAGTAGCAATTGTGAATGGGAGTTAACTCATGATTTGGCTCTCTGCCTGTTATTGATGTATAAGAATGCTTGTAATTTTTGCAAATTGATTTTGTATCATGAGAGTTTGCTGAAGTTTCTTATCAGCTAATGGAGATTTTGGGCTGAGATGATGGGGTTTTCTAAACATACAATCATGTCATCTGCAAACTGAGACAATTTGACTTCCTCTCTTCCTATTTGAATATGCTTAATTTCTTTCTCTTGCCTGGTTGCCCTAGCCAGAACTTCCAATATTATGTTGAATAAGAGTGGTGAGAGAAGGCAGCCTTGTCTTGTGCTGGGTTTCAAAGGGAATGCTTCCAATTTTTGTCCATTCAGTATGATATTGGCTGTGGGTTTGTCATAAATAGCTCTTATTATTTTGAAATATGTTCCATCAACACCTAGTTTATTGAGCATTTTTAGTATGAAGGGCTGTTGAATTTTGTCAAATGCCTTTTTTGTGTCTATTGAGATAATCATGTGGTTTTTGTCACTGGTTTTGCTTACCCGATGGATTACTTTTATTGATTTGTGTATGTTGAACCAGTCTTGCATCCCAGGGATGAAGCTGACTTGATTGTGGTGCATAAGCTTTTTGATGTTCTGCTGTAGTCAGTTTGCCAGTATTTTATTGAGGATATTCACTTCAATGCTCATCAGGGATATTGGCCTAAAATTCCATTTTTCTTGTGTCTCTGCCAGGTTTTGGTATCAGGATGATGCTGGCCTCATGAAATGAGTTAGGGAGGCTTCCCTCTTTTTCTATTGTTTGGATTAGTTTCAGAAGGAATGGTACCAGCTCCTTTTTTTTTACCTCTGGTAGAATTTGGCTGTGAATCCGTCTGCTCCTGGACTTTTTTAGTTGGTAGGCTTTAATTACTGAGTCAATTTCATAACTTGTTAATGGTCTTTTCAGGGATTCAAATTCTTCCTGGTTTAGACTTGGGAGAGTGTACATGTCCAGAAATTTATTCATTTCTTCTAGGTTTTCTAGTTTATTTGAGTAAAGGTGTTTATAGTATTCTCTGATGGTAGTTTGTATTTCCAGGGCTCAGTGATGATATTTCCTATATCATTTTTTATTGAGTCTATTTAATTTTTCTCTTTTCTTCTGTATTAGTCTGGCAAGTGATCTATCTATTTTGTTAATTTTTTTTTCAAAAAAACATCTCCTGGATTCATTGATTTTTTGAAGGGTTTTTTGTGTTTCTATCTCCTTCAGTTCAGCTCTGATCTTAGTTATTTCTTGTCTTCTGCTAGCTTTTGAATTTGTTTGCTCTTCTCTAGTTCTTTTAATTTTGATGTTTGGGTGTCAATTTGCTTTCTCTTGTGGGCATTTAGTGCTGTAAATTTCCCTCTACACACTGCTTTAATTGTGTCCCAGAGATTCTGTTATGTTGTGTCTTTGTTCTCATTTGCTTCAAAGAACATGTTTATTTCTGCCTTCATTTCATTGTTTACCCAGTAGTCATTCACCAGCAGGTTGTTCAGCTTCCAAGCAGTTGTAAAGTTTTGCGTGAGTTTCTTAATCTTGAGTTCTAATTTGATTGCACTGTGGTCTGAGATACAGTTTGTTACAGTTTCAGTTCTTTTGCATTTGCTGAGGATTTCACTTCTTTTGCATTTGCTGACCAATTATGTGGTCAATTTTAGAGTAAGTGTGATGAGGTCCTGAAAAAAGTTTATATTTTGTAGATTTGGGGTGGAGAGTTCTGTAGATGTGTATCAGGTCTGTTTGGTCCAGGACTGAGTTCAAGTCCTGAATATCCTTGTTAATTTTCTGTCTCATTGATCTGCCTAACATTGACAGTGCGTTGTTAAAGTCTCCCACTATTATTGTGTGGGAGTCTAAGTCTCTTTGTAGGTCTCTAAGAACTCACTTTATAAATCTGAGTGTGTCTGTATTGGGTGCATATATATTTAGGATAGTTAGCTCTTCTGTTGCATTGATTGCTTTACTATGATGTAATGCCCTTCTTTGTCTCTTTTGATCTTTTTTGGTTTAAAGTCTGTTTTATCAGAGATTAGCATTGCAACTCCCACTTTTTTTCCTTTTCATTTGCTTGGTGAATATTCCTCCATCCCTTTATTTTGAGCCTGTGTGTGTTTCTGCATGTGAGATGGGTCTCCTGAATACAGCACACCAATGGGTCTTGACTCTTTATCCAATTTGCCAGTCTGTGTCTTTTAATTGGGGGCATTTAGCCCATTTATGTTTAGGGTTAATATTGTTATGTGTGAATTTGATCCTGTCATTATAGTATTAGCTGGTTATTTTGCCCATTAGTTGATGAAGTTTTTCCCTAGCATTGATGATCTTACAGTTTGGCATGTTTCTGCAGTGGCTGGTACTGGTTGTTGCATTCCATATTTAGTGCCTCCTTTAGCAGCTCTTGTAAGCCAGGTCTAGTGGTGACAAAATCCCTCAGCATTTGCTTTTCTGTAAAGGATTTTATTTCTCCCTCACTTATGAAGCTTAGTTTTGCTGGATATGAAATTCTGCTTTGAAAATTATTTTCTTTAAGAATATTGAATATTGGCCCCCACTCTCTTCTGGCTTGTAAAGTTTCTGCAGAGAAATCCACTGTTAGTCTGATGGGCTTCCCTTTGTGGGTTACCCGACCTTTCTCTCTGGCTCCTTTAGCATTTTTTTCTTCATTTCAACCTTGGTGAATCTGAAGATTATGTATCTTGGGGTTGCTCTTCTTGAGGAATATCTTTGTGGTGTTCTCTGTACTTCCTGAATTTGAATGTTGGCCTGTCTTGCTAGGTTGGGGAAGTTCTGGGTAATATCCAGAAGAGTGTTTTCCAACTTGGTTCCATTCTCCCCATCACTCTCAGGTATAGCAATCAAATGTAGGTTTGGTCTTTTCCCATAGTCCGGTATTTCTTGGAGGCTTTGTTTCTTCCTTTTTATTCTTTTTCCTGTAATCTTTTCTTCTCACTTTATTTCATTAAGTTGATCTTCAATCACTGATATCTTTTATTCCACCCGATCAATTTGGCTATTGATACTTGTGTATGCTTCATGAAGTTCTCATGCTGTGTTTTTCTGCTCCATCAGGTCATTTGTGTTTTTCTCTAAAGTGATTATTCTAGTTAGCAATTCGTCTAATCTTTTTTCAATGTTCTTACCTTCCTCGCGTTGGGTTAGAATATGCTCCTTTAGCTCAGAGTTTATTACCCATCTTCTGAAACCTACTTCTGTCAATTCAACAAACTCATTCTCCATCCAGTTTTGTTCCCTTGCTGGTGAGGAGTTGTGATCCTTTGCAGGAGAAGAGGCATTCTAGTCTTTTGAATTTTCAGCCTTTTTGCACTGGTTTCTCCCCTTGTTTGTGGATTTATCTACCTTTTTGTCTTTGATGTTGGTGACCTTAGGATGGGGTCTTCTGGTGGACATGCTATTCTTTTCTGTTTGTTAGTTTTCATTCTAACAGTCAGGCCCCTCTACTTCAGGTCTGCTGGAGTTTCCTGGAGGTCCACTCCCTACCCTGTTTGCTGGGTATCACCAGCAGAGGCTGTACAATAGCAAAGATTGCTGCCTGTTCTTTCCTCTGGAAGCTTTGCTTCAGAGGGGCACCTGCCAGATGCCAGCCAGAGCTCTCCTGTTTGAGATGTCTGTTAGCCCCTACTGGGAGGTGTCTCCCAGTCAGAATACATGGGGGTCTAGGACCCACATGAGGAGGCATTCTGACTCTTAGCAGAGCTTGAATGCTTTGCTGGGAGGTCGGCTGCTCTTTTTAGAGTCATTGGCCAGGGACATTTAAGTCTGATGAAACTGCACCCACAGTTGCCCCAGGTGCTCTGTCCCAGGGAGATGGGGGTTTTATCTATATGCCCTTGACTGGGGCTGCTGCCTTTTTTTCAGAGATGCCCTTCCCCAAGAGGATAAATTTGGCAGTCTGGCCACAGCAGCCTTGGTGAGCTGCAGTGGGATCTACCCAGTTTGAACTTCCTGGCTGCTTTGTTTACACTGTGAGGTGTAAACACCTACTCAAGCCTCAGCAATGATGGATGCCCCTCCTCCCACCAAGCTCCAGTGTCCCATGTTGATCTCAGACTGCTGCTGTCCTGGCAGCAAGAATTACAAACCAGTGGATCTTAGTTTGCTGGGCTCTGTGGGAGTGGGACCCGCTGAGCCAGACCACTTGGCTGCCTGGCTTCAGCCCCCCTTTCCAGGGGAGTGAACAGTTCTGTCTCACTGGTGTTCCAGGCACCACTGGCGTATGGACAAACAAAAACAACAAAAAAGGCTCCTGCAGCTAGTTCTGTGTCTGCCCAATGGGCAGTTTTGTGCTTGAAACCAAGCACCCTGGTGGGGTAGGCATCAGAGGGAATCTCCTAGTTTACAGGTTGCAAAGACTGTGAGGCAAGTGCAGTATCTGGGCTGGAGTGTGAATGCTTCCTCAGGCTCAGACTCTCATGGCTTACCTTGGGTAGGGGGGAAAATTCCCTGATCCCTTGCACTCCCTGGGCAATGTGAAGCCCCACCTGGCTTCAGCCCACACTCCGTGGGCCATACCCACTGTCCAACCAGTCCCAGTGAGATGAACTGTGTACCTCAGTTGGAAATGCAGAAATCACCTGCCTTTGAGCAGAGCTGTTTCTCTTCAGCCATCTTGGCTTCTCTCCCAGTATGGCCTTTTCTACTAGAATCTTATTTTCTACCTCTTCACTCTACCTGGCCACTATGGCTCTTTCCCATTCTAGTTTAAATTACTTCTATCAGTGGTTAGTCTATATTTATCTTTTTTCTCTCCAAATTATTTGTTAAAAACTGCCCCCATTTTAGATAAATGTTCCTCCTTTAAATATTCCTTTTGTCAATTAAATTCAGTAGTGAATTAAGCACCCACTATTATAATGTTGTATTTTATTTGTATTTGTAAAGTTTTATATTTACACCTCCTTTTAGCATTTTGGCAATAATAAAAATAAAAAGCCGGTCATTAACTTTCATAACTTTATCATTTGAAATTTGTCAGGAAGGTAAGAAGGATGTAAAGTATTTAAAACAAACTGCAGTATGTATTATCCTTAAGGAAGTAATAGTTTATTTCTAGTATTTTTCTCATGGATGGTGTTTCCTAGGTAACATTGGAACTTTTCTATTTTTGCCTAGATTTCTTTCCTTATCTCAGGTGGGAAGCACACAGAGTTGGCTGATTACCCAAAGAGAGTTCAGAGTCCTTGATTAGACTCATCCGCTCTTAGGTATGTGGCACTGAGTTCACTTTCCTGAGTATGTGTGAGACTGATTTTCTTAGAATAGTTTATTCTTTGCTGGAGATAGAACATCTTGCAAAGATCTTGTGTCTCTGTTTTCTCTAGACATTCCCTCTCTGGTGTGCAGACCCACATTCAGGAAACCAGATTGTAGATGACAAGGTTGAAATTCAGAACAAAAGTCCTAGGGGAAGTATTCAGGGATGTTTCATCAAGCTCTGGAAGCCTGAAGAGTTACTTTTCTTTAAAGGGCAGATCTGTTTTAAAAAATGAGCTGTGTGACTGAAGAATGACCCTATAATGCCTAGCCTCCTGAGTGCCCTGACTTGTTTTTTTAAAATAATCAAAGCGCTCTGGTCTCAGTCAAATTAAAAATGCTTCCTTCTCTCCCTATTTTTCCTTTCCAAGTTTTTCCTGATTGTTAATTGGCTCCATTTAATTCTTCTGTAGTATCAATTTCTGTAATTGGCCTGTTTAATTTATCAAATAGCGTTTTGTTTTCTAAGGCTCTGGGTTAAGAAAGTGAATTACAGGAGCAACAGTCTTTTCTTTAAGGGACTCACAGACTAATAGAGGAGGTAGTAATGTAAAATAATAATTACCTAATAAAGTGGAAAGTGATGTTTATAATAGAAATATGACATTATGAAAATAAGAATATGGTTGGTCTTACCCATTATGCCTAAGATACCATGTAGTATAGGAGGGAAAAACCATTTAATCCTCTCTAAATAAGGCTTCAATCTAAATAAAATGTCTTCACAAATCTAATAACCACACCCTTTCAGTAAAGAAGCCTTTCTCTATATAGAAACTGATATTTATTACATGAATTATAGCGTAGATGGTATGTGATACTTTCTGTTGTTTTTCACAGAGTCTCCTGGACTTTGTGTTGTTTTGATTGCTATATATACTTAGTTAACTTTGTTTGAATCACTAGAGATGCTTATGTCAAATGAAATTAAAACCTCCAGATTTCCGTTAATTTATTTCTTTGTCCACATCTTTAAGCATGTTAGCCAACTAACTACTCTAGCAATCAAAATCTCAGCCACTTAAGAGATGTGTCTTGTTCATGTCAGTTAAGTACAGTTATGGGAATGGCTTTCAAGACTCTCTGGTTCACACAGTCATTCAGGGTCCCAGGCTTTTCTGTGGTGTGGCTTTTCTGTCTTATGAGGCTTTGCCATCCTCCACTGGGCCCTTTGCTTTCAGCCTGCAGGCAAGGGAAGAGAGAAGTCATGAAGCATTCTGCCAGAAGCCTACGGGACAAGCCTGGAAGGGGTATATATGGCATCTGCCCACATTCCACTGTGTAGAACCCACTCACATGGTCCCACCTATCTGCAAAGGAGACTGAGAAGTGTGATATCTCTGGGGGCGAAAGATGAAAAGGAAGCAGGGGTTTGAAAGACACCTAGCACTGTTGCTGCTCCATTGCTTTGAGTAACAAATGATGACTCACAGAAGGCAGCCTTTAAGTATTGGCGCCACTGATGGAGTCTCATTGCTGTAAAGAAATACCTAAGACTAGATAATTTATAAAGGAAAGAAGTTTAATGGACTCACAGTTCCACCTGGCTGGGAAGGCCTCCGTTTCACTGTGACAACTGAAAGATGCATGTGGCATGCTTCTCACTGGGGTTGTATCAGCTGAGTAACATACCTTCTGGGATATCAGTAACACTGACTTTCAAACTCAAGCGAGTTGGCTGTGAACAGGCTCCTGCAGCTCCCCAGGCTGGCTGGCCTATTGCTCCACTGTAAAAAGCTATGCCCTGCAGAACATGCTGGCACCTGGCTTTGCAGACAGATATTCAGGAAGATGTAGGCGCCAATAAGGGGAATTGTGTCATGGGAGGTTCATGGTAATGTAGAAAAGTCTCAGTGAGATGCACATGTTTGAGGGCTAAGGGACAGTGCTACACCTTGTCACCACTGAAGCAGTGAGACAGATCTTGGTAGTGTGCCTTTCATGTTTCAGACTGAAGACTCTGAGACTGTTGGTCTCCTGTAAATGCAGTTTTGCACTACTCAGACCTAGGAGGGTACCTGCATGTGATGCTCATGGTCATTTTTTTCTCCAAAAAACAATTTGCAAGAATTTGTGGTCATTTGTCTCATAGATTTACTGCCATTCATAAAGCCTGTAAACATCCCTTAAGAAAAGTTTGGAGAGATCTTTGCTCTTGAGATATGTTTATGAAGTTGTTTGCTCTCTATATTTGTAACTTTTCTGTGAATGCTAATGGTTAGTTTTGCATTGGAGACAACAAGAAGACTGTAATCATCTTTGTATAATTGTATGATTTTTGTTTTTGTTTTCTAGATTTTGAAGAAAATATTTTAATGAAGAAATCATAGATGGTATTTAAAAAGAATTGATGCTGTTTTTGCAGTGCTTATACTGAGGTTCAGGTGTGATTTTTTTTTATTGTAAATTCCAGAATTGAGATTTAAGAAATGTTTGCTTAATAGGTATATTTTAAATATACATCTATTGAATATATATTTATGTAGCGAGACAGAGACAGGGTCTCACTCTGTCACCTAGACTGGAGTGCAGTGGCAACATCATAGCTCAAAGCAACCTCAACCTCCTTAGTTCAGGTGATTCTCCCACCTCAGCCTGCTGAGTAGATAGGACCACAAACACACACCAACATGACCATATAATTTTTTGTATTTTTTGTAAAGACAGGGTTTTTTAATGTTGCCTAGGCTGGTCTCAAACTACTGGGCTCAAGTGATCCTCTTGCCTCAGTCCCAGAGTTCTCTCTCTCTCTTTTTTTTTTTTTTTGAGATGAAGCTCTGTTGCCCAGGTTGGAGTGCAGTGGTATAATATCAGCTCACTGCAGTCTCCATCTCCTGGGTTTAAGTGATTCTCCTGCCTCAACCTCCTCAGTAGCTGGGATGATAGGAATGTGGCACCATGCCCAATTAATTTTTTCTATTTTTAGTAGGAAAGGGGTTTCACTGTGTTGGCCAGGCTGGTTTTGAACTCCTGACCTCAAGTGATCCACCTGCCTTGGCCTCCCAAAGTGTTGGCATTACAGGCATGAGCCATCACTGCTTTTTTCTCTTTCTTCTTTTTTTAAGTGTAGGGAGGACTTTCTCCAAGCAGTCTGATGAGAGATTCTCCAAATCTATCAAACCTTTTGTGAGAATGAATGCTGTATTTGGGCCTGTATATGTAATTTTCAGTTGAATTGCTTTGCTCATTTTTGCTTAGCTGTTTCCTGTGGTGGCTGTCTGCAGTGTTATAGCCTTTTCTATGCTTTGGTACATCCTCATAATAGAGCTCCACTTGGTCTTTGTTTGGTACTTCAGAGTCTGGTGCAAGTTGGTGGTCTTGCTTTCAGTGGCCCTGCTTGTTTCCCTTCCTACGACCCAAATTCCTCCCCCAAAGAGAAGTTGTGACTATGATCTAGCCACACTGTGACAGAAGAAGAAATTCTTTTTTTTTTTTTTGAGACAGAGTCTTACAGTGTTGCCCAGGCTGGAGTACAGTGGCGTGATTTCAGCTCACAGCAACCTCCTCCTCCCAGTTTCAGGCAATTCTCCTGCCTCAGCCTCCCAAGTAGCTGGGATTACAGGTGCCCACCAACATGCCTGGCTAATTTTTTTGTATTTTTAGTAGAGACGGGGTTTCACTATGTTGGCCAGGTTTGTCTCGAACTTCTGACCTCATGATCTGCCAGCCTCAGCCTCCCAAAGTGAGAGGAAGGAATTCTTGAGAGTGAGTGCCACAGATTTTTTTTTTCTTACAGGGCTTCAGTGAGGTTGGCTTCCTGCTTGCATAGTGCCTATAATCTCAGGACTTTGGGATGCCAAGGCGGGTGGATAACTTGAAGTCAGGAGTTTGAAACCAGCCTGGGCAACTGGGTGAAACCCCATCTCTGCTAAAAAATACAAAAATTAGCCAACTGTAATCTTGGTTACTCAGCAGGCTGAGGCACGAGAATCATTTGAACCTGGGAGGCAGAGGTTGTAATGAGAAGGGATTGTGTCACTGCGCTCCAGCCTGGGTGATGGAATAAGATTCTGTCTCAAAAAATAAAGAAAAGTTGTATTAATTGACTGTTTATGTTATCAGTAAAGCTTCTGATTAACAGTAGACTATTAGAATTAAGTTTTGGGGCATCAAATTATATGCAGATTTACACTTTGAGGGGTTGGTGATCCTAATTACAGTGTTATTCAGAACTCAAATATAAATAAAAGAAGATACTTCTGCACTAATGTTCATAGCAGCATTTTTCAAAGTCAGGTGGAAAAACAAAAAGGTCCCTATGAACAGATAGACAAAATGTGATAGAGTCAATGAGAAGAATATTATTCAATCATAAAAAAGAATGAAATCCTAATAATGTTACAACATCAATGAACCTTGAAGACTTTATGCCAAATGAAATAACCCAAACATAAACCAGGAAAACTTCTGTATGACTCCACATATATCAAGTACCTAGAATAGGCAAGTTTGTAGAAAAATAAAATGGAAAAGAGCTTAGCACAGTTACAGCTGAAGAGGAATAGGAAGTTACTTTTTAGTGAGTGTAGGGATGATGAAAGAGGAGGATGAAGAAGATGTGGATATAGCTGTACTGGTCATACAACATTGGGAATATACCTAATCCTACTGAACTGCACACATGCAAATACTTGAAATAGTAAATTTTTTGCTATATGTATTTGCCACTATAAAAATTTGATGCCAGTCTTGTGAGTTTTGTGTGTGAGTTTCCTCAGTTAGATTTACTTCAGTGAAGATGGTTTATACACAGTGTGTTTTTGTTACTAGTCTCCAGGAAAAAAAACCCTGCAATTTCTGCTATGTACAATATGTGAAATGCATAAAGTGTTTAATAGGCATATTATTATATTGCTATCTTGCTTTTTTTTAATTTGAGGTAAAACTTACATAACAAAATTAACCATTAACTCTTTGATAGTGTACACAATTCAGCAGCATCTTTGCATTCTCAGTGTTGTGCTAATATCACCTATACCGAGTTTAACACATTTTCATTATCCAAAAATTCTGTACCCATAAGCAGTCATTTTCCATTCTTTATGCTCTCAAGTTCTTGGCAACCACTAAACTGCTTTCTCTCTGTTAAGGATTTATGTTTAGATATTCCATATAAATGGAATTATATGATATGAGACCTTTTGAGTGTGGTGTCTTTCACATTATGTAATGTGTTTATTATGGTTTATAAATATTGTAGTTTGAATTTCTTTCTGTTTTAAAATTTAATTTTTTAAGAGCAGTTTTAGTTTCATAGCAAAATCTAAACAAAGTACAGAGATTTCCCATATTCCACCTGCCCCTACACATGCATAGCCTCTCCTATTGTCAACATCCCCCACTGAGGTGGTACATTTGTTATATCTGTTGAACCTACATGGACACATCATGATCACTCAAAGCCCGTAGTTTACATTAGTGTTCACTCTTGGACTTACACGTTCTATGCTTTTGGACTAATATATAATGACATGTATCTATTAGTATAGTATTACATAGAGTCCTTCATTGCTTTAAAAACACTCTATGTTCTGCTCATTGATTCATCTCCACAACCCACCTAACCCCTGGCAGCCACTAATCTTTTTATTGTCTTCATAGTTTTATCTTTTCCAGAATGTCATACAGTTGGAATCAAAGAGCATGTAAATGTTTTTTGTTGGCTTCTTTCACATAATAATATGTATTTGGGTTCTTCCATGTCTTTTCATGGTTTGACAGCTTATTTATTTTAGCACTGAATAACATTCCACTGTCTGGATGTACCACTGTTTGTTTATTTATTTACCTGCTGAATGATGTCTTGGTTGCTTCCACATTTTGATAATTATGAATAAAGCTGGTATGAACGTCTATGTGCTGGTTTTGTGTGAATGTAAGTTTCCAGCTTCTGTGGATAAATACCAAGAACTACAGTTGCTAGATTGTATAGTAAAAAATCTGTTTAATGTTTTAAGAAATAGCCAAACTGTCCTCCATAATTTAGCATTCCCGCCAGCAAAAAATGAGTTTTACATCCCTGCCAGCATTTGATGTTCTCAGAGTTCTGAATTTTGGCCATTCTAATAGGTATGTAGAGATATCTCACTATTTTAGCCTGCATTCTCCTGATGACATATGATATGAAAGACCTTTTTCATATGCTTATTTACCATTTGCATTTCTTCTTTGCTGATGTATCTGTAAAAGTCTTTGGCACTTTTTTTTTTCTTTCTGAGACTGAGTCTTGCTCTGTCACCCAGGCTGGAGTGCAGTGGCTCGATCTCAGCTCACTGCAACCTCTTCTGCCTCCTGGGTTCAAGTGATTCCCCTGCCTCAGCCTCCTCAGTAGCTGGGATTACAGGTGTGTGCCACCATGTCCAGCTAATTTTTGTATTTTTAGTAGAGACAGGGTTTCACCATGTTGCTAAGGCTAGTCTCGACCTCCTGACCTTGTGATCTGCCTGCGCCAGCCTCCCAAAGTGCTGGGATTATAGGTGTGAGCCACCTTGCCTTACGTTTTTTTTTTTTTTTGCTTTGTTGCCCAAGGTGGAGTGCAGTGGCGTAATCTTCACTTATGCAGCCTCAATCCCCTGTGCACAAGTGATCCTTCCACCTCAGCCTCCCAAGTAGCTGGGACTACAGGCATACACTACCACACCGTACTTGTATTTCTTCTTCTGATTGTACAATACTTCACTGTATGGATATATCATATTTTGTTTATTCTTTTAAGAGTTGGACATTTGGGTGTTTTTCACATTCTGAAGCAAATATGAACTTTAATGGATAAGTTTTTTGTTTTAATAACTGTTTTACAGCCAGGCCAGGTGGTTCATGCCTATAATATCAGCACTTTGGGAGGCTGAGTGGGGCAGATCATAAGGTTAGGAGAACGAGACCAGCCGGGCCAACATGGTGAAACCCCGTCTCTACTAAAAATACAGAAATTAGCTGGGTATTAGGTGGCAGGCACCTGTAATCCCAGCTACTTGGGAGGCTGAGGCAGGAGAATTGCTTGTACCCAGAAGACGAAGGCTGCAGTGAGCTGAGATCACACCAGTGCACTCCAGCCTGGGAGACAGAGCCAGACTCCATCTTAAAAACAACAACAACAACAACAACAAAAGAAACAAAAAAACAAGCGAGACTCTGTCTCAAAAACAGAAACAAAAAACACCCGTTTTACTACTTCTGGGAGCAGAGTTACATATCCAGGTGTGTGATTGCTTCATAATATGTTGTTTAACTTTCTGAAGCGCTGTCAAAGAGTTTGCCACAGGGACTGCACAGTAGTAATGATTGAGGGGTCCAATTCCTCTTCATCTTTGTTAACACTATTACCTAGTCATTGTGAAGTGGTATTACACTGTGGTTTTGATTCGCTTTTTCATTCTAATTACTACCACCATTAAGCATCTTTTTTATACACTTATCAACTGTTTGTAAATTATTTTTGGAGAAAGGTCTCTTCAAGTCCTTTCCCCACTTTTAGTTGGTTTGTCTTTTTGTTGTTGAATTGTAAATGGCAATCATGTATTTAATATTAAACCCTCATCAGACATGGGATTTGTAAGTTGTTTTTCCTTCTGTGAGTTGTACTTTCAGTCTCTTGGTAGTGTCCTTTGATACATGAAAGTTCTAAATTGTGATGTAGTCTAGTTTTTCTATTGTTTTTTTCTTTTGTTTCTGTGATGTCGGTGTCATGTATAAAAACCTGTTGCCAAATCCAATACCATGAATGTTTACTACTGAAGTTTCTTTTAAGAATTTTGTGCTTTTAGCGGTCAATGTTGTTGATCTATTTTGATTTAATTTTTGTATATAGGTTGAGATAGAATTCTAACTTTATTCTTTTTTGCATGTGAATTTTTTCAGAACCATAAGTTGAAACTCTTCATTCCACGGTTTCAGCTACCTTATGAACATGAATTGGGTAGAAATATATACCTTAATTTTTGAACTCTAACTTCCACTATTAGATAGATACTACTCTAGCCTGGTAGCAATTATTGCAATCAAGAAATATGAGTTCTCTTGGATTTCTTTTTCAGTATTTTTTGGGGCTAGTTAGGGTCTGGTGCCACTTAATTTTGTTGTTTTTATATTTGTCACATGTACTTCATAAATGCTTTCCATTGTTAATCATATGTGACCAATAATATTTGGTTTATTATTAATATATAAATAGTACCAGTATGCTTCTATGCTGTATTTTTCTACTACTAAAACATTAGTTATTTCCAAAAAGTGTAAAATGCTTCTTCATTTGATTGAGTTTTTGTGTTCATTCATAGATAAAGTTTAATCAGGAAATGAGTATATAAAGAAGAGTAAGTCCAAAGAGGTAAATGAGGAGATATCCTTGTCTAATAAGTGGAATAGAGTTGGGGAGTAGCAGTGGGTAAGATGCTCCCTCAAGTCTAGAAGTAGCCTTAACAGCCATGGCTTTCTTTTATCAACCTGCCCCTGCTGTGAAGTCTACCTGGAGAAGTCAAAGCGCAACTGAACTTAGATGCCAGGGATTTGTTGGAAGGTGGAAACAGTTGTTCTGGTAGCCAGCTGGGTCTTTCCAAGCTCATGGAATGACTGTGAGAGGCAAATCATCCCAACATGGGTGAGAGGAGAATTAGGGAAGATGGAGGAGTGTATAATAATGGTATCAGATATGCAATAATATCTAAAGGAGGATGAGATGAATTTAAAAACAAGAACCAACTCCCAGACTTTCATCACAGTGTTCAAAATGAAAGAAAAAGAAAACCTGTCTAGTTTTTATGCAGAATTTCTCCCTCGAAATACTGTAATAACTTTTGCAAAAAGGAAAAGGCCTCATTCTGGTTGATTTCAGTGGTTTATTTACTCATGATGTAAAGATTCAAGAAACTGCCTCTAAAACAGATTTTCTATGACCAGAAGATAATATGCACCATGTGATTCCCTTCCCAGTTTTTTCCCTGAAAAGAAATAGTTATTTTGAAAATGTGAGCATTCTTTACTAAGCCTTTGGATTTCTGATCTTTCACAGAAAACTTGTGGTATAAAATAAGATACAATAATTATACAGTACATCAGTGACAAGATTCTGTGGAGTAACTGGATGAGATATAAATGCCCAAGAATTATTTTTTCTCCTCACATCTTTCTGTGGCTTTATGCTAGAAGCAGGTACTTTTCTTTTCATTAAGTGGGAACAGAATGTGTAGTGTCTTTTCTCTGAGAAGAGAACATAGTCTATAACTAGTTGCCAATCAATTGGGCCTCTTCATATGACTTATTTTATTTTATTTTATTTTTTATAATACTTTAAGTTATAGGGTACACGTGCACAACGTGCAGGTTTGTTATATATGTATACATGTGCCATGTTGGTGTGCTGCACCCATTAATTCATCATTTACATTATGTATATCTCCAAATGTGATCCCTCCAACCTCCCCCAACCCCATGACAGGCCCTGGTGTGTGATGTTTCCCTTCCTGTGTCCAGGTGTTCTCATTGTTCAGTTCCTACCTATGAGTAAGAACATGTGGTATTTGGTTTTCTGTCCTGGCAATAGTTTGCTGAGAATGATGGTTTCCAGCTTCATCCACGTTCCTACAAAGGACATGAACTCATCCTTTTTTATGGTTGCATAGTATTCCATGGTGTATATGTGCCACATTTTCTTAATCCAGTCTATCATTGATGGACATTTGGGTTGCTTCCAAGTCTTTGCTATTGTGAATAGTGTCACAATAAACATATGTGTGCATGTGTCTTTATAGCAGCATGATTTATAGTCCTTTGGGTATATACACAGTAATGGGATGGCTGGGTCAAATGGTATTTCTAGTTCTAGATCCCTGAGGAATCACCACACCGACTTCCACAATGGTTGAACTAGTTTACAGTCCCACCAACAGTGTAAAACTGTTCCTATTTCTCCACATCCTCTCCAGCACCTGTTGTTTCCTGACTTTTTAATGATCGCCATTCTAACTGGTGTGAGATGGTATCTCATTGTGGTTTTGATTTGCATTTCTCTGATGGCCAGTGATGATGAGCATTTTTTCATGTGTTTTTTGGCTTCATAAATGTCTTCTTTTGAGAAGTGTCTGTTCATATCCTTCTCCCACTTTGTGATGGGGTTGTTTGTTTTTTTCTTGTAAATTTGTTTGAGTTCTTTATAGATTCTTGATATTAGCCCTTTGTCAGATGAGTAGATTGCAAAAATTTTCTCCCATTCTGTAGGTTGCCTTTTCACTCTGATGGTAGTTTCTTTTGCTGTGCAGAAGCTCTTTAGTTCAATTAGATCCCATTTATCAATTTTGTCTTTTGTTGCCATTGCTTTTGCTGTTTTAGACATGAAGTCCTTGCCCAAGCCTATGTCCTGAATGGTAATGCCTAGGTTTTCTTCTAGAGTTTTTATGGTTTTAGGTCTAACATTTAAGTCTTTAATCCATCTTTAATTAATTTTTGTATAAGGTGTAAGGAAGGGATCCAGTTTCAGCTTTCTACATATGGCTAGCCAGTTTTCCCAGCACCATTTATTAAATAGGGAATCCTTTCCCCATTGCTTGTTTTTGTTAGGTTTGTCAAAGATCAGATGGTTGTAGATGTGTGGTATTATTTCTGAGGGCTCTGTTCTGTTCCATTGGTCTATCTCTCTGTTTTGGTACCAGTACCATGCTGTTTTGGTTACTGTAGCCTTGTAGTATCGTTTGAAGTCAGGTAGTGTGATGCCTCCAGCTTTGTTCTTTTTGCTTAGGATTGTCTTGACAATGCAGGCTCTTTTTTGGTTCCATATGAACTTTAAAGTAGTTTTTTCCAATTCTGTGAAGAAAGTCATTGGTAGCTTGATGGGGATGGCATTGAATCTATAAATTACCTTGGGCAGTATGGCCGTTTTCACAATATTGATTCTTCCTACCCGTGAGCATGGAATGCTCTTCCATTTGTTTGTGTCCTCTTTTATTTCATTGAACAGTGGTTTGTAGTTCTCCTTGAAGAGGTCCTTCACATCCCTTGTAAGTTGGATTCCTAGGTATTTTATTCTCTTTGAAGCAATTGTGAATGGGAGTTCACTCATGATTTGGCTCTCTGTTTGCCTGTTGTTGGTGTATAAGAATGCTTGTGATTTTTGTACATTGATTTTGTATCCTGAGACTTTGCTGAAGCAGCTTATCAGCTTAAGGAGATTTTGGGCTGAGACAATGGGGTTTTCTAAATACACAATCATGTCATCTGCAAACAGGGACAATTTGGCTTCCTATTTTCCTAATTGAATGCACTTTATTTCTTTCTCCTACCTGATTGCCCTGGCCAGAACTTCCAACACTATGTTGAATAGGACTGGTGAGAGAGGACATCCCTGTCTTGTGCCATTTTTTCAAAGGGAATGCTTCCAGTTTTTGCCCATTCAGTATGATATTGGCTGTGGGTTTGTCATAGATCGCTCTTATTATTTTGAGATATGTCCCATCAATACTTAATTTATTGAGAGTTTTTAGCATGAAGCGCTTTTGAATTTTCTGAAAGGCCTTTTCTTCATCTATTGAGATAATCATGTGGTTTTTGTATTTGGTTCTGTTTATATGCTGCATTACATTTATTGATTTGCATATGTTGAACCAGCCTTTCATCCCAGGGATGGAGCCCACTTGATCATGGTGGATAAGCTTTTTGATGTGCTGCTGGATTCTGTTTGCCAGTATTTTATTGAGGATTTTTGCATTGATGCTCATCAGGGATATTGGTCTAAAATTCTCTTTTTTTGTTGTGTCTCTGCCAGGCTTTTGTATCAGAATGATGATGGCCTCATAAAATGAGTTAGGAAGGATTCCCTCTTTTTCTATTGATTGGAATAGTTTCAGAAGGAATGGTACCAGCTCCTCTTTGTACCTCTGGTAGAATTCAGCTGTGAATGTGTCTAGTCCAGGACTTTTTTTGGTTGGTAGGCTATTGATTATTGCCTCAATTTCAGAGCCTGTTATTAGTCTATTCAGGGATTCAACTTCTTCCTGGTTTAGTCTTGGGAGGGTGTATGTGTTGAGGAATTTATCCATTTCTTCTAGATTTTCTAGTTTATTTGTGTAGAGGTGTTTATAGTATTCTCTGATGGTAGTTTGTATTTCTGTGGGATCGGTGGTGATATCCCCTTTATCATTTTTTATTGCATCTATTTGATTCTTCTCTCTTTTCTTCTTTATTAGTCTTGCTAGCAGTCTCAATTTTGTTGATCTTTTCAAAAAATCAGCTCCTGGATTCATTGATTTTTTTGAAGGGTTTTTTGTGTCTCTATCTCCTTCAGTTCTGCTCTGATGTTACTGACTTCTTGCCTTCTGCTAGCTTTTGAATGTGTTTGCTCTTGCTTCTCTAGTTCTTTTAGTTGTGATGTTAGAGTGTCAATTTTAGATCTTTCCTGCTTTCTCTTGTGGGCATTTAGGGCTATAAATTTCCCTCTACACACTGCTTTAAATGTGTCCCAGAGATACTTGTATGTTGTGTCTTTGTTGTCATTGGTTTCAAAGAACATCTTTATTTCGGCCTACATTTTGATATGTACCCAGTAGTCGTTCGGGAGCAGGTTGTTCAGTTTTCATGTAGCTGAGCGGTTTTGAATGTTTCTTAATCCTGAGTTCTAGTTTGATTGCACTGTCGTCTGAGAGACAGTTTGTTATAATTTGAGTTCTTTTACATTTGCTGAGGAATGCTTTACTTCCAACTATGTGGTCAATTTTGGAATAGGTGTAGTGTGGTGCTGAGAAGAATGTATATTCTGTTGATTTGGGGTGAAGAGTTCTGTAGATAGATGTCTATTAGGTCTGCTTGGTGCAGAGCTGAGTTCAATTCCTGGATATCCTTGTTAACTTTCTGTCTCGTTGATCTGTTTAATGTTGACAGTGGGGTGTTAAAGTCTCCCATTATTATTGTATGGGAGTCTAAGTCTCTTTGTAGGTCTCTAAGGACTTACTTTATGAATCTGACTACTCTTGATTGGGTGCATATATATTTAGGATAGTTAGCTCTTCTTGTTGAATTGATCCCTTTCCCATTATGTAATGGCCTTCTTTGTCTCTTTGATCTTTGTTGGTTTAAAGTCTGTTTTATCAGAGACTAGGATTGCAACTCCTGCCTTTTTTGTTTTCCATTTGCTTGGTAGATCTCCCTCCATCCCTTTATTTTGAGCCTATATGTGTCTCTGCACATGAGATAGGTCTCCTGAATACAACACACTGATGGGTCTTGACTCTTTATCCAATTTGCCAGACTGTGTCCTTTAATCGGAGCATTTAGCCCATTTACATTTAAGGTTAATATTGTTATGTGTGAATTTGATCCTGTCGTTATGATGTTAGTTGGTTATTTTGCTCATCAGGTGATGCAGTTTCTTCCTAGTATCGATGGTCTTTACATTTTGGAATGTTTTTGCAGTGGCTGGTACCAGTTGTTCCTTTCCATGTTTAGTGCTTCCTTCAGGAGCTCTTTTAGGGCAGGCCTTGTGGTGACAAAATCTCAGCATTTGCTTGTCTGTAAAGGATTTTATTTCTCCTTCATTTACGAAGCTTAGTTTGGCTGGATATGAAATTCTGGGTTGAAAACTCTTTCTTTAAGAATGTTGAATATTGGCCCCCACTCTCTTCTGGCTTGTAGAGTTTCTGCCGAGATATCCGCTATTAGTCTGATGGGCTTTCCTTTATGGGTAACCTGACCTGTCTCTGTGGCTGCCTTTAAGATGTGTTCCTTCATTTCAACTTTGATGAATCTGACAATTATGTGTCTTGGAGTTGCTGTTCTTGAGGAGTGTCTTTGTGGCATTCTCTGTATTTCCTGAACTTGAATGTTGGCCTGCCTTGCTAGGATGGGGAAGTTCTCCTGGATAATATCCTGCAGAGTGTTTTCCAACTTGGTTCCATTCTCCCCGTCACTTTCAGGTACACTAATCAGATGTAGATTTGGTCTTTTCACATAGTCCCATATTTCTTAGAGGCTTTGTTTGTTTCTTTCTACTCTTTTTTCTGTAAACTTCTCTTCTCATGTCATTTCATTCATTTGAACTTCAATCACCGATACCCTTTCTTCCAGTTGATTGACTGGTTACTGAAGCTTGTGCATTCATCACGTAGTTCTTGTGCCATGGTTTTCAGCTCCATCAGGTCATTTAAGTACTTCTCTACAGTGGTTATTCTAGTTAGCCATTTGTCTAATCTTTTTTCAAGGTTTTTAGCTTCTTTGCAATGGGTTCGAACTTCCTCCTTTAGCTTGGAGAAGTTTGATTGTCTGAAGCCTTCTACTCTGAACTCGTCAAAGTCATTCTCCATCCAGCTTTGTTCCATTGCTGTGAGGAGCTGTGTTCCTTTGGAGGGGGAGAGGTGCTCTGATTTTTAGAATTTTCAGCTTTTCTGCTGTGTTTTTTTCCCCTTCTTTGTGGTTTTATCTACCTTTGGTCTTTGATGATGGTGATGTACAGATGGGGTTTTGGTGTGGATGTCCTTTCTGTTTGTTAGTTTTCCTTCTAACCATCAAGAGCCCCAGCTGCAGGTCTGTTGGAGTTGCTGGAGGTCCATTCCAGGCCCTGTTTACCTAGGTATCAGCAGCGGAGGCTGCAGAACAGTGAATATTGCTGAACTGCAAATGTTGCTGCCTCATTCTTCCTCTGGAAGCTTCATCTCATAGGGGTACCCAGCCATGTAAGGTGTGAGTCTGCCCCTACTCGAGGGTGCCTCCCAGTTAGGCTACTCAGGGGTCTCAGGGATCCACTTGAGGTGGCAGTCTGCCCGTTCTCAGATCTCAAACTCCATGCTGGGAGAACCACTATTCTCTTGAAAACTGTCAGACAGGGATATTAAAGTCTGCAGAGGTTTCTGCTGCCTTTTGTTCAGCTATGCCCTGCCCCCAGAGGTGGAGTCTACAGAGGCAGGCAGTCCTCCTTGAGCTGCAGTGGGCTCCTCTCAGTTTGAGCTTCCTGGACACTTTGTTTATCTACTCAAGCTTCAGCAATGGCATGTGTCCCTCCCCCAGCCTTGCTGCTCCCTTACAGTTAGATCTCAGACTGCTGTGCTAGCAATGAGCAAGGCTCCATGGGTGTGGGACCCTCTGAGCCAGGTGCCGGATGTAATCTCCTGGTGTGCTGTTTGCTAAGACCATTGGAAAAGTGCAGTATTATGGTGGGAGTGACCTGATTTTCCAGGTGCCATTTCTACAACTTTTCATTTTGCAAAACTGAAACTGTACAATAAACAGTAACTCTCCATTCTCCATATCATGGCAACTACCATTCTACATTCTGCCTCTCATCATGATTACTCTAAGTAGCACATATAAGTGACATTACACAGTATTTTCTTTTTTGTGATTGATTTATTTCACTTAGTGTATTATCTGGGTACAGCATGTATCAGAATTTTATTCCTTTTAAAGGATTAATATCATATGGAATTTATATACCACACTTTGTTTATCATGTTTTTAATGGTGGAGGGTGTCCAGGTTCTTGGCATTTGAACAAAGAATTGGACAAAATGCACAAACAAAGCAAGGAAGGAATGAAGAGATTTATTGAAAAATGGGAGTACACTGCACAGTGTGGGAGCAGGCCTGAGCATAGGGGCTCAAAGGCCCTGTTAGAGTTTTTGTCAGTTTCAATGCCCTCTACTTGCTGTATACCCTATGTAAATGAAGAGGATGAGAAAATGTTACAGTCATTTATACTGCGTACGCCCTACAGAAAGGATATTTTCTGTCATAGCTGAAGTGTGAATTGGCCTTGTGTTCCCTGCCTCCAGACTCTATTTTCCTGCCTCATCTCCCCTCTGAAGGATGTGATCCCTATAAATATTTATGAGAGCCATAGGGACCATTGCTCTTTTTTCTGTAACTGCTTCATGCTGGCTTTGGGCATAGTCCCTAACTATTGGGGATCACAGAACTCTCACTCTGCCCTATCAAGTGGAGGCAGGGTAGCTTTTCAATGGCTGGGGTGTTGTCTTCACCTGGCAGTAGCTGGACCCTTTGTTTCATGATCATCTGAAACTTGATGGTCTCTAGGCAAGAGGAAATAAATTTTGTTAACAGTTTTAACGGGAATTTCAGGGGGTGGATACTTATGCTGTCAAGAATGTTTGTTATAGAGACTTGCAGGAGAAAACCAAAACTTGGTTTGTTCTAACATCTATATGTTTCCTTAAAGTCTTAGCATAAATGACTCCATTTTGGTTTTGTTTTGTTTGTTAAGGCCTGATGCATGAGCTTAGTCTAAAGCAATAGCCTCCCAGAACTTTGTTTAAAAAATTCCCCCTTTTTGGTCAGATTCTCAGTTAGGTAAAAGTGTAACCAAAACTTAAGGTCTTAGCACCACTCTGTTACCATCATTTTGGGTTTCCAGTCTCAGAATGTCACTTATAGGTTATAGTGTCCTCATGGTTGCAGATTTCTTTCAGCTCTTGTCATTCCAGTTGAAGAGAGACCATTTGACCTTCTAGAGATGGCTGCAGGCAAGCATTTAAAGCCTTTGAGAGAACACAGCACATCAGGGAGACTATTAGTATGACTATTGGGAGGATAATACCAAGACGTTGGAGTATGCTCTTTACCTAAGGTCCCCACAAACTAGACCGCTTAAGATAAAATAGATCAAAGAATGAGCTAAATAAAGAATTTATTTGCTTAACTAAGCAGTCTTTTTGTTAATCCCCTACCACTGAATATCTGTAATCTTCATTTGATGCATTTCTCCATAGGCCACAAGTGCCAGCAGCTGCACAGCTGCCAATTCTATTATTTAGCATAACTTTTATAAGAGAATTTAAAGTCTGTTGTGTAGCCACAATCTTTACAGTAGAATGTGTTATAGAGCCTATAATGAGGATACATTTCTTTTTTTTTTTTTTTGAGACAGAATCTCGCTCTGTTGCCCAGGCTGGACTGCAGTGGTGCAATCTCAGCTCACTGCAAGCTCCACCTCCTGGGTTCATAACATTCTCCTGCCTCAGCCTCCTGAGTAGCTGGGACTACAGGTGCCCGCCACCAAGCCCGGCTAACTTTTTTGTATTTTTTTTTTTAGTAGAGATGGGGTTTCACTGTGTTAGCCAGGATGGTCTCGATCCCCTGACCTCATGATCCACCTGCCTTGGACTCCCAAAGTGCTGGGATTACAGGCTTGAGCCACTGTACCCCATTGCTTCTTTTATTTTAAATCATGGAAAAGGACCTAACAAATGTTGCCCTTTTAGAATAGTGAAGGCCTCCTGGTAATGTTCTGATTAACTCATGATGTGGGTTAAGAGGAGTGAGCGAAGTTTTGTTTTTGATTGATTATGAGACAATACATGTACCATTAAACTTTCTTACCTACATTAGGTCTTCATCTTTTATCTATCGAAGTATAAATTTATTCATGTATAAGGCTGGATGCAAACTCCTTCACAAGAACACCCCATAAATGCACATAACAGAATGCTTTCTACTTCTATTGTTATGAAATGCAGTAGAGGCATAAGCAAGAAAAAATATTCAAAGATAAAAGTTTCATGACAGTAAAAGCCTTAATCTGTGAACTTGGGAAAGCTAGGCACATCAATGATGCCATCTTCTTCTTGGGAGAAATTTCCCTGGTTAGCTTTACCTCAACAGTTCTAATGGGTGCCAAGCTCCAAGAGCATGGAGGGACCCTTCTCAGCTGTCAGATTACAAACCCAAAGTTCAAGGTCCTGAAGTTTTGTTGTAGAGTGGATGGCAAGGACAGTCTTCCTCTGATATTTTCAGAAGATCCAAACCAAAAAAAGCTTTTTTACCTGGTGAAAATATACTGTAGCATAATAATTCATTATTATAACATCAACCCTCTTGCATAGGAAAGCTTTTATACAACCAGAAAAAAATGCACTGAAAATAGCAATTGTATGAAATCCTTTTATAAAATGTTTAAATGGCCCACCAGGTTATCAAATGTACCTGAAGCTATAATTGTTTTCCCAGGAATACAGGATCAAGCATTTGTTATACATTATTTTGGTAATTTGTAAGTCACTAAACCAATGTACTCAATTTGGATCATTATATCTTTCCCATAATGAGTCATGTAGTGCAGAACTTTTTTTCTTTTTTTGAGTCTTGCTCTGCCACCCAGGCTGGAGTGCAGTGTTGCGATCTCGGCTCACTGCAACGTCCACCTCCCAGGTCAAGCAATTCTCTGCCTCCTGAGTAGCTGGAATTACAGGTGTCCACCATAATGTCTGGCTAATTTTTGTATTTTAGTAGAGACAGAGTTTCACCACCTTGGTCTTGAACTTCTGATCTGGTGATCTACCGTCCTCAGCCTCTCAAAGTGCTGGGATTACACGTGTGACCACTGCACCCGGCCCAATGCAGAACTTTTAATAATAAATGCTTTAAGACATCAGGAAGAACATGGTAGCCATCCTGGTTCTCCATAAGGCCATGCTTAATTAACATTAGACATATACGCTTGAATACCAGTTGTTTTTCCAAATTAGATGCATAGCACTGACAAGGAATTTTTTTTTATGGTTTACAACAACTTAACATAGTAACCATAATTATAATTGATAGCACATACTTAGACATTAGAATTTTAGAAATCCCATACAATTTAGGAATATATGTTAGTATTATTCACAAAAATATAACCTAAAGAAGACTGAACATCATTTTGGCAATCCATGTATGTAAACACATCAAATAATCTTGTTTATCATTTTTCTGGATGTTTTCAGGGGCCTTCTAATTCATCCAGAAAGCCAGGCATTAGGAAAGACAATTCTGAAAATGAAATTTAATTTTGAAATTCCATATTACCATAAATTACTTATTTTGCCAAAACAATGACTCAGAAATTTTAAAGAAGCAAAAGCCTTTACTAATCTTGAAAACAGACACACATATTCTACTGTTCTTACACACCTTGCATGTAAAACTGTTTCCAGTAGTCTTAATTGTGTGTTATAATGACTAATTTTAACATTAGACCTGATAAGTTATGTTCTGATAAAGTTTCACTGTTTCCAGCATAGCTAGGGGCATGGCCAACTCCACATGTTCCCAATAAAAAACATCTAGGCTTTGCCTAATGGAAAGCAGGCAAGTTAAACAATTTTCAAAAGCAAAAGAAGCAGTTTATGACCTCAGCAAACCTAACATTGGAACATAATTTAGACCACATGTTTACATTTTGAAGATATTTGTATTTTACCAATAATCTTGAAAATCATCTTTATTTCCCAAAGATTGCTAAAGTCACATGAACTAAAAGGCATTATATTTTCTATTTTTCTGACAAAATATTTTATTTAAGTTGTTCTTCTCATTAAACCAATAACTTTAAAACTTCACAGAGGAGATTAACCAGTTTGCACAGACAGAAAGAGGCCAGAGACTGGTTGGTAAGAAATTCTTACACTTTTTCCCACATGTCAGGTTTCTGGGTTCTCTCTCCCTGAGCCCCTCTACTGAACCTGCTGTATGCAAAGAAACACATTGCTATCAATTAAGAATATTCACCAACAGTTTACAAATGTTGGATAAATTAGGCAGAGAGAGAGAACTATGACTAAAATTCTATTTATGAGAGTATATTAACAGACTTAATGTATCAGGAAGCCTAAAACCCAAAAAGTTAGTTTAAGGATAGAAAGCTGGCATGCTCCATTAATTCCTGCAGCCTAACAAAGGTAGCTTAGGAATTCCAGATAAATGGAATGAACAACTAATTTCTAGAAGTAGGAAACAAAATAACTGTTCATAGTACCAAATAAAAGTCTTTCACTAGCATGGTTGTACACGTATGGATACACAAGCAAAGCCAGAGGAGAACAAACAGCAAATGAATGAAAACTACAAGCAAAAAACAAATATACCAAAAAAATCCTACATTTTCATACTCATTTTACCCTGGAGGTTACAGTGTTATCTAGGGACCCCCCAATACCTGCGTGATGAATATTTTATTCCTGATACACAATTCAATATACTTAATTTCACCGATATCATTATACATCCTATGCAATCAAGAAATCCACTTTCAGCACATGACCAGTAAGTACTCTTAAGGGAGGAGACAAGCCCTCATATTGTCTTATGCCCAATTTCTGGCTCCAAAGAAAGAAGAAGTAAAAACTAAAAGGCAGAAATGAAATCCAAGGGCAGACAGCCTGGCACTGCACCCTGGGCCTGGTATTTAAAGATTGACCCCTGACCTAACTGGTTATGTTATCTATAGATTCCAGACATTGTATGGAAAAGCACTGTGAAAATCCCTGTCCTGTTCTGTTCTGATATGATTACCAGTGCATGCAGCCCCCAGGCTCGTACCCCCTCTTGCTCAATCAATCACGATCCTCTCACATGGACGCTCTTAGAGTTGTGAGCCCTTAAAAGGGACAGGAATTGCTCACTTGGGGAGCTTGGCTCTTGAGACAGGAGTCTTGCCAATACTCCTAGCTGAATAAACCTCTTCCTTCTTTAACTCGGTGTCTGAGGAGTTTTGTCTGCAGCTTGTCCTGCTACTCTCTAGCACTATCCATGCAAAATAGTAAAGATAGTGTGAAGCAATGCAGGCATGTATGTGAAATTTGGCTTTACACTAAATCCAACTTCATGCTTAACTATATTAAAAAAAGAATTGCCAAACTGCTGATGCATTTTTACAATACTTCTTATTTTACTTTAATCAAGACTAAGAGCTTTAAGTATGAAAATGTTAATTAGTGAAATGTCTCCAATTCTTTATCTTGTGTTAAAGAACATTTTATTATTTAAACTGTTTCCACATCTTTCTCCCCTGCTTAATGATTTATTACTACATTGTTTTTATAAATAACCTTTTCATATCTGTAATTTGAACTTTTAGATAACCTCTGAATTAGACAAAATTCTTTTTTTTTTTTTTTTTTTTTTTTTTTACTAATAACATAACCCTTTCTGGCACAGTTTGTACACAGAATTACATATTAGTTAGAATTTTATACCTAGTAACATAAAAGTTTAGTGAAACCTTAAAAAGTAAGAAATCCTGAACTATCAGACCTGACATTTATAGATAAGAACAATTCCACACAATGTTAGAAACATGTTCCAGATCACAACCGTTTCTTAATTGGAAATGACCCAGATACTAAATGAGCGTCAGAAATAACTTTAAGATTTTAATTTACACAAAAGGTTTACCTAAAACATTTTTCTAATTCACTGTAATTTTTACTTTTATCAAGGGAGACATGAAACATCAATTAACAAGTGTAAAATGAACATTGGTTTGGTCTGGAAAGGTGGGACAACTCAAGACAGGGAGGGGACTTGGGGTCTTTTAGATCATAGGCAGGAGAAAAGCGAATGTATTCTTTTGAGTTTCTGGTTGCCTTTCCAAAGGAAACAATCAGATATGCATTTATCTCAGTGGGACTTTGAATAGAATGGGAGACAGATTCACCCCTAGCATCTCCCATCTTGAATTAACACTGACATTTAAAAATATCTAGCAAAGACAAACATAAAATTCAGACAAAATGTATGCTATTTGAAAGACATTTCTATTTTCACTCCACCAATAATTTTAAAGGTAGCTTGTTCAGTAAAATTATACTCAGGTCAAGTAAACTTGAAAACTGCTTAGACTTATTTACTTAATTTATGAGCGCTCTTTTACTTATAAAGGGGTCCAATAGCTTGGAACCTTCACCATGAGATAGCAATATAACCTTGCCAGTTTTACTTTGCTCCAAGAGGTAATCCAAGGAAGGTTCTGAATGAAAATTTTGGGTAAAGGAGTCTCCATAGCAGTTTGATTTTTAAAGGCTAAACCTCCCCAGACTCCAAGGAGCACTGGGGCCAAAGAGTACCGAGTGTCCTCCTGTGGGGCCCAATCTTAGAGTATCAGATATCTCTGACCTTAGGTTGGCAGCAGTGCCACTTTGCCTGCTTTCCCTCCAGAGCCTATTGTGCGCTTTCCTTTGGTACCTAGTTGTAATCCCCAACTTTTAGGATTTTTATAAATTGATAAGGCCACACTTTCCCATGCTTCCCATTCCATGAACTTTAATGATAGGATCTGGAGATTGCATGGGTTTCCTTTGCTCTTTCTCAGTTGAATAGGCAAAGGTAAGAATTTAGCATAAGAAAAGAAGATTTAAGTCATCAAAAACATCTGAGAGTTTGCTCCAAGCTACGTGGCATGTGGACGTCAGGGACCATGCATGGAGAAGATTCTTAAAAAGTCCTTCCCACTTTGAGGAAGGACTATTTCCCTTTGTTCCTAGGCCTTCAGGCAGTAGCAGGGAGTGACCCCAGCCAATTGCCCTCACTCTTCAAGGAGCTACTAGGAAAGAGCCACTGAAAGACTGAAAAGGAAAGAGGGGGAAAACAAACAAACAAAAAAGACCCTGGTCCCTTAAGGAAATCAGCAGTGACAGTCAGGCTTCTCCACATGGAAACCCCTTAGTTTCACTATGTAAAAAGTAAGTAGAGGTTCCTCATGGGTGAAAAATTAAGACCCACCCAGTGTTACAAATAAATCCAGACTCTCAGCAATGCAAAGAAAAAAAAAAGAAAGAAAGAAACTGGCCAGCAACCTAGCTTAAAGGATCCTCACATACTGCGGCAATAACTCTGTGCACAAAGTGAGAAAAAAGAAGCCGCAGGATTAGTCCCAACCACCAAGGAAAAAAAAAAGCTGTGGGACAGTAAAGCATTCCTTGGTTAGGAGAGAAAAACTTCAGGTAATGTATTCCTTAGTCAGGTTGTCCTGGAGGTTAAAAAGAAGTGAGAAAATCCCCATAGAGCGAGGGCTGAACCTCAGAAAGAGATGAGAAATCCCTATGGGTGGTGTGGAACCTCAAAAAGTGGTGAAAAATCCCCCTGGTGGGAGGGTTGAACCTCAGAAAGAGGTGAGAAATCCCCATGGCAGGGGTTGAACCTCAAACAAACCTCCAGTAGCAAGAAAAATATTCAGAACCCCCCCTTTCCTTTCTTCTCAGGGGAAGAAAGAATAGCTCCACTCCTGCTGGTCTCTCTCCTAGTGGAAGGCGAAGGAGAGGGAAAAACAGCAGCATAGGTGGCTGGCAGAGACAAAAGAAAGATCAGCAGAAAAGAAAAAGAAAAACAAAACAAAACAAAAACTAGGAGAGGAAGTCAGAGGAACAAAAAGCAACAACAGCAAGCACAGAGCCAAACAACAGCCAGGCAGACAATCCAAGGGTCTGTGTAAAAAAGAGGGTGAGGACCAGCACTGGGAGGAGAGCAGAGGAGGTGAAGGCATAATTCTTGCAATTTGCGGCAGGCATCTGCCAAGCCTCTGGGTCGGTGACTGCCTGGGGCCCAGACAGCAGCCATGCATATCCCACCCACCCAGCCAGAGAAACTAAGTGTAAAAACAAACGAAGAAAAGTAAAAAGGGAAATAGGGGGGAAAAAACCCAACAACAACAGGAGAAACAGACGGCCCTGCTCACAGCAGGAGCGGGAGAACTCTGGAAAGGAAAGGGAAACAGGATGATAGAGAGAAAGATAGGAAGATAGAGTGCAAATGAGAGAGAGAGAAATAGAGGGAAAGAGTAAGAGAAAAACTGGAAGAGACATAAATCAAAGGAAGACACAGAGGGTGAAACAAGAAAAAAGTGTAAAAGGAAGGCAGAAAGTTAAAACATCTTAACGATTGTCTGTAAAAGTCATAAGAAAAACTATAAAAGGGAATTTATGCAAAAAATGTATAATTTAAAAGTAATTAGTCCTCCTGAATGTAAAAGTGTTTTAAAAAAACAGTTTATGTACAAGGTATGTAAGAAAAATATAATGTACTTTTAATAACAGGATTGTAAGGAGGCATAAGAATATGGATTTTTACCTACATTAAAGGCTAAACATTTTTTTTGTTTGTTTTAAAGGTTTAAGCAAGTTTTAAAATGTTAATTGTAAAGAAAATTCTGTGTGTAAACATCCTGGCTAAAGTTAAAGGGGTATCATCCAGTTTATCTGTGAACTGCACATTAAAATAAAAGCTCAATAAATTTTTCTTAAAGCACTAACCTGCTCTTTAACAAACATTGTAAGAAGTTAAAAAGAGTCTATAAAATTCTTACCTTATAGTCAGACATTAAAATTGAATAAACAATGCCTATAAAATTTTATTAAAATTAAGTTTAACATTAATAGCACATTAATATAAAGGTAAAATTTAACTTATCTGGTATAAAGTCATACAAAAACATTGTCAAATATAAAATGGTGTTTAGTTTTCTTAGGCCTAAAGGTGGCCAGGTAAGTCACAAGGTCCCTCATCCCCAAGGCTATAGCACGTAGGGGTGGTAAAGGCCACAGGAAAGCCAAACATTAAGAAGGGGCAGGGTCGCAGTGTCCCCTGGGTGGTGCTAAGTAGGAATAGCGCAACGGGCATCACCATGATGCCTCAAGCCCCAGGATATGCATCAGAAATTATATATTAATTTATCTTCCACTTTCCCTTCCCTCAGAACTAAAAGTTCAGAACAAAAAGTGGCACAGGTACCACCCCTAGAATTTCCAGTACACCAGCACCAGCCTAAAAACCATGTTCTCATCAAAAGATAGAAAGAAAAAAAATGCAAGCTATCCTGGGAAGAACCCTATTTTATGCTGTTAACCACTAAGACTGCCATCCTCACAGATGAGTAAAAAATGGACCCACCATACAAAAGTCAAAAAAAACTTGCCTCACAAAATCATGGGTTACTGTACTAAAATCAAGCCCTACTAAGTTAAAGTTAAAAAAAAAGTTTAATTTTCTTGTATCTTCTATATTGCTTCCTTTCCTTTCATTATTGTCTTACAAGCTCCTTGGTTATTAATGTAACTAAGTCTGACTCACCTCAGATCATTGCCTTTAATCTTTGCTCTGTCATACCTTGTGGAAATGTAAAAGATCAACAACAGCTAGGCTTTTCACACAAATACTTATGTTCCAGCCCTCTAATTGACACAGTTACCCCAAGCACTTGTTGTAATGACCTGCAGCCAAGATGCTGATTTCCTGCTCCTACAGCCTGGCAACCTTGTAGTGAATGGGACCACATCCCATAAACTACCGAGAAGCAAAGTTAGACTTCCATGAAAAAGGTTTGTGCAGATCTAAAACCCCTCATCTATTTCACTAAAAGGACTACCCCTTCTAACTGTCGACCTTATCAATGTAACCCTGTCCTTCTCTCTATCACCACCTCCACCTTAACTAACTCTAGACCTCCCCTTAGTCAATTCTGTTGTATGGGAATTAACATAAATGGAAAAGACCCCCTAGATATTTTTTAAATACCCATTTTTCTCCCATCTTCCCCTTCTTCAGTAGCCTCAGTTCTAAGTTCCACACCGGTTACTCCTACATCTAATAAAACTAGGATGTTTATTGTAAAAATAAAAAATCAAGACAGACCTTAACCATCAAGACAAAATATCAGGATGCAAATGCCTGGCTGAAATGGATTAAATATTCCATTCTCACTTTAAATAAAAGCAATTATTGTGCTTGTATACACGGTAGGCCAGAGGCCCAGATTGTCCCCTTTCCACTCAGATGGTCTTCTCATCAACCAAATATGGACTGTACGGTGGCTCTTTTTCAAAATCCCACTGCTTGAAATAATCCGTCATACTGAGCTCTCTCTGCTGTTTCCTGAAATTCAACACCCTATGGGTCAGTCCCTGAGGGCAATCCAGCTTCCACCTCTAAATGCCAATTTTGCTTTGTGCCTCACATGGGAGGAGGAAAATTTGGTATTCCTTGAAAGCATAAAAGAATACAAGAAGCACAAGCCCTTCCAAGAGCTTGCCCATCAGTCCATGCTTAGCCATCCCCAAGCAAATGTATAGTGGTACTGTAAAGGACCTTTACTAAACACTCTGACAAATAATTGAAGCAGTACCTATGCTCTAAACGAATTGGCTATCCCCTTCACCCTGGCATTTCATCAGTCTAAAAAGGTAAAAACAAAACACCGCAGGCCAAAACAACTCTGAAGTCTTTTAATCCTCAGATTTATATAAATGTTATTAAGGTCCTATAAGAAGTGCCAAATAAGTTTAAAACACAAAATCAAATAGCTGTGAAATTTGAATCCATGTTGTTCTGGCAGGTAACTATAAATTAAAAAAAATTAACTTCAATTCTCACCTTGTTCACTCTTATTATTGGTGTACTTAGTCTTATAAATTGTTATATTATTCCCTGACTTCAAAGTTTTATACAAAAACTTGTCTCTGCCACGCTTACAGAGTTAACTCCTAACTCTTCTCCACAGTATTAAAAAAAATTACTTCTCTTAAAAGAACAAAGAAAACAATTGTCAAAACATATTAAACAAGTTTAAAGGGAAATCATAAAATAATAAGAGGGGGAATATTGTAAAAAGTAAAGTAGAGTTTCCTCTTCAAAGACTTTCCTCCCCATCTAATTAGGAATAAATAGTAACTTCTCTTAGAAGCAAAATCTATTCAAAGACCTGTGCTCCTAAATATTTTCTCTGGCATGCTTATACTGGTCCAAGCAAGCATTAAGTCGTAGCCTGTTCCTCTTCCTTATTTAAATGCATTTTACCTTTCTCAGCATTCCACAAGTTACTTTCTCCTTCCTTTGTTCTCCTCTACCTTTGCCTCTTTTAAAAAGTTCTAAGTTGCTAGCCAATCAAAACAAATACAAAATTTGACATCCCATTCCAGCCAATGGAAACCCAACACAGCAGTGAGGTGGACACATCAGGTTATAAATGATTGTCTCCTTTGTTCAGTGTACTCTCATTTCAAAACTACCGGCGAGTGTACTCTTTCTGCAGGAAGTAAAAATGGCCTTTCTAAATAAATTAAATTTATGTTCAAGTGCTATTTCTTTACAGCACTGGGGAAACAAGCATTTCAAACAACTGGCATGGCCAGAAACCTGCAGTTGCTTCCATGTTTAGGTGCTGCCAACCAAGGGTCATATCTTGGAAAGGAAAACAGAGAGGGAGACATTCCCCAGTATGGAGCAGAAAGGAAAAGGAGAAAGGAAAAGACTAAACCCCAAACTTTGGGCTTACCTTTTCCTCCTGGCTGGCTCACCAAAATATGTTAACAGTGGAATCTGTCCAGGTTCTTGGTATCTTGAAGAAAGAATTAGACAAGATGCACAAAAAAAGCAAGGAAGGAATGAAGGGATTTATTGAAAATGGAAGTATACTCCACAGTGTGGGAGTAGGCCTGAGCATAGAGGATCAAGGAGCTTGTTACAGAGTTTTTGTGAGTTTATAACACCCTTTACTTGGTGTATACCCTTTACTTGGTGTACACCCTATGTAGATGGAGAGGATGAAGTAAAGTTACAAAGTCATTTACTCGGCATACACCCTATGGAGAGGATATTTCCTGTCATAGCTGAAGTGTGAATCGACCTTATTATGTTCCCTGCCTCCAGATCCTATTTCCCTGCCTCAATTTCATTTGTTGATTACTGGACTTGCTTCCTCTTTGGCTATTGTGTGAATAATGCTGCTATGACATGAATGAACAAGTCCTGCACCCTGGTGTGGTGATATGAATGGGGATAAGTAGAGGGTATTCTCAAAAGAGTAGAAAGGGAGGGAGCTTCCAAGAAAGAACTTGTTTAAAACTTAGCAAAAGTTCTTAAAAATTTTAAAATATTTTGCATATTTAGTTAGAATTTGGGTGAAGAAAATTTTACCAGCAATTTTCTCCTATAAAGTCTCTTTTATTTTATTTTGGCTGCCAGCACCCTGCATAAATTTCTTAATGTGTCGTCAGTATAAAGGAGCCACTGTAGCCTGGAAAGGATATAGCTAGTCATTTTTTACCTCACTTAGAGTGGCACTTTTATTGTTATCTCCAGTAGGTGACTGGTTGCAGTGAAGAAAGGCAGCCACATCTTTCTGTCATCTTGTTTGTTTCCCTACAGTGTGCTTTATTTAAGGATCTGATTTCAGGACTGTAGTCCTCTTGTCTATGGAGCAGATAGCTCTTCCTCCTCCTTCAGTTGACATATGGACTACCTTCTGTATTTAGACTAATTGAAAGGTCCTGAGAGTATAAAGATGACTGAGGCAGAGCCCCTGCCCTCTACAGTCCATAGTTTAGGTGGGAAACAGAAAAGATATAAAAACACGTGCCCAGTGTAAGCAGAAAAAGGGGCAGTCCACGTAAGCCGGATAGACGTGTGTGGCTAGACGATCAGAGAAGGCCTCAGAAAAGAAGTGCCTTTGCAACGTGTCTGGAAAGATGGCAGGCTTTCCTGTGACAGAAGAGGACTGAGTTAGCGTGGCAAAGGCACAGGGGAGCCAATCAGGCATCTTTGGGGACTTCACAGAAGTTCAGTTTGTAGGGGATGTTTTTGAGGAAAAGGACAGAAAATAGAGATGAAGCTGATGAGTGAGTTTCGGGACTCCTATATCAGGCTAAGGAGATTGGACTTTGTGCTTTCAAAGAGATTTCTGCTGAAAGCATTGCTGCCCAGTTAGGAAGATCACTTTAGAGAAGGCACTGAGGATGGGTTTTGGTGGGATGTGACAAGAAGCCCATGAGAATCTGTTTGAAGCAAAGGGACAGATACAGGGGGTGTCACCAGTCATTATGATATTCAGGAGCAGGAACCTCCAGTTCTTCATGACCTACTGAATGTTTCAGGAGGGAGAAGAGTGAGATTCTGTGAGGATGAGTCCCAGGTTGCACTCCCAGGCTGGCTCTGCGTTTAGATCCAGATGATGCGGCTCCCCGTGACGGGAAGACAGGAGAAGCAGGAGTATGCTGTGTTGTGTTTGGTTTTGTTTTGCTTTTGATGGGGAAAGGTGGTATGGAGAATGAGGGCTGCTTTTGATGGATGGCTGGGAATGACCTTGGCTCCATTCAGGTGGAGGTGCATCCAGGAGGCAGGCGGGAATGAAAGATTGGAGCCAGGGAGACAGGCTGGAGCTGAAAGTAGGCACAGGCTCTTGGAGATCTGGACAGGGAAGAAGTAGGAGTGGACATGAGGGAAGCTATGGTGGGAAGAGACAAGGATGCATGGTCTATTCTGGAAGTTGAAAGAGGAAGAGAGGCAACCAGGCCAGGGTGATAGAGTTTGTATCATCCCACGTGGAATGAGTCAATGCAAAGAAGGTTTTAAACAGCTATTCAGCAATTAGAGTGACAGCTGTGAGCTCACTTGGCTCATCTCCTCCAACACTTAAAGTGAAATCCTTGTTGGTGAAAAAATTGTTTTATATGATCTTCCTCTTTACAATGCACTATTCCATATTTGTAGAGTTTTCTTCTCAACTCAACTATGTATATATAAACAGAAAATGTTCCACAGTTTTAAAAGTGTACAGACTCTTCCATAATGTGCATCCTGGTAATTAATTAGTTTTCACGTTGATGAGTGATTTCACTGCATGACTGTTGGTCAACCTAAGGATTTTACTTTAAAGTCATTTATGTTTTCACTTTTTAAATTTTAAAGCTTACTGATATTGAGGATCCAAGAGAATGGTGGAGGGAGAGCAAGAGCACAGGTTGAAGGAATATTTAACTGTAGCCCAGGAGGCTCTCAATGCCAAGAAAGAAATCTACCAGATTAAGCAGCTGCGGTTCTAGCTGGCCTAGAAGGAATACCAGCAGCTGCACAAAATGTGTGAGGATGACAGCCAGTCATATGTCAGCTGTGAGTTGATGTGTCTCCTTTGGTTAACATGAATGACTTTGAAAGCTGTCTGTCTGCTAGGTTATCTGCAAACACTGACCCTTTCTCAGGCAAGATGGCTTCCAAATGTTCTGATCTCATACGGGGTAATCAATATTTGGCACTGGAATCAGATCAGCATCCTGTAGCCCCTCCTGTGGCAAAGATTTTTTCAAGTTGTTACTTTGTGCCCAGGCACTTGGATATGGTGGTAACTAAGACAGTAAATGTCCCTGCCCTTACGAAGCTCATGCTTAAGTAGGGAAAACAGAAAATGAACAAACAAATGCAATTTCTGGTACTGTGTGAAACAACCTTATGCCTCATGTTTGTCAGTGTTGAAGAGGGCTGTTCTGGGAGAAGCCAAAGCATTTTGCTTTGAACACAGTCAGTCACATGTGAGCCAATTCCTTCCCAGCAGAGCTGTTGCCCTCTACAGTCTCCCCACAGTTATCCATGGACACAACTGACGTAGGCATCCATGAACTTGGAGAACATGGATGAAGTTGGTACCACTAGATTGTATTTTATAAAACCCTAAGTCTATTTAAGACATGTGAGTCTTTCCTGTGATACCACTTATTTTGCCACGTTTTCGGTTTCAGTAAAAAAGATTTAAACATTAAGGACATAGTCATAGCTTTATGCTGTGTTGCTAATCACATTGGAATTAAGATCAAAAGGCAATATTCTTTGGTTTTTGTTTGTTTGGATTTAAACTGCAGTTATTGGTGAAGGCAAATAAGCCATACATGCTGTGGAGAATAATGGGATATTCCCCCTTAATACAAATTTAAGATGTCTCTGTAGTCATGAGCCTTAAGAGAATAGAGAGCACTGAAGCATACTGGCATGTCTTATTTTTTTTTTCTCTTACAGGTAAATAACAGTTTTTTAAGCCCTTATTCAGAATGATCATCTCAGTACAAATTTTTAGAGATTAGTTTCTCATTTCTATAGCTTTCTTTTCTTGCAATAGCTATCTAACTTTCTTATCAGAGTTATGCTGGACTTAAATAATGAATTGTCAAGTATTCCCTTTTCTTTTCATTTCTGAAGACTTTGTGTAAGATTACCATTAATGCTTCCTGGGTTTTTTGTTTTTTGTTTTTGAGAAGGAGTCTCACTTTGTCACCAGGCTAGAGTGCAGTGGCTAGATCTTGGATCGCTGCAACCTCTGACTTCCTGGTTCAAGCAATTCTCCTGCCTCTGCCTCCCAAGTAGCTGGGACTAGAGGCACATGCTACAACGCCCAGCTGATTTTTCTATTTTTAGTAGAGACAGCATTTCACAATATTGACCAGAATGGCCTCCATCTCCTGACCTCGCGATCCACCCTCTTCAGCCTCCAAAAGTGCTGGGATTACAGGCGTGAGCTACCACACCCAGCACATTAATGCTTTCTTAAATATTTGCTACAACTTACAGCAAAAGCCATATGGGCCTGAAATTTATAGTTTGTTTAAATATCACCTTTAATAGATGCAGAACTACTCAGATTTTTTCTCTCTTTTTTAGTCAGTTTTGGTATTTATGTTCTTTAAGGAAGTTGTCTGTTTCATCTAATCCAAAAATCTATAGACTTTTCCATAAAAGAATCAGATAGTAAATATTGTAAGATTTTTGGACCATATTGTCTTATTTGCAACTATTTAACTTCATTACAGTACAAAAGCAGCTAGAGACAATATATAATAAATGTTGGTGAGGGTGTTCCAATAAAATTATAACAACAGGCAACAACAGGATATCAATCTTGGGATATTTGCTGTTCATTGATCTAAGATGTCAGTTTTGTAATGCTCTAAGAATTCCCTTATCCTTCTAATATCTGTAGACTCTGTAATGGTGTCCTTTCTTTTCTTTCTGATAATGAATAATTGTGTTTTCTATATTTTCTTAGTCAATGCAAAGGTTTATCAGTTTTACTTATCCTTCCAATGGTCTTCCTGTTTATTGTACGTAATATTATTATTTTCTATTTTGTATTTTATTGATTTATATTCCTTATTGTTTTTCTTCCATTTAGTTTGTTGTTCACTTGTTACAGTTTTGTAAAGGGGCTGTATATCTAAAGCAGCCCCGAAATGCTGAAGAAGCTGAGAAACCAAAGAAGGATGCAAACAAATGCACTTTGTGAGTTTTGGATAATTTACTAAGAGAATTTGCAGACGGAAGTGTGGTCTTGGGTGGCCATAAGACAGTTAGATCTCTACACCACAACTCCCCAGACCTTAGAATTGTATTCTGGGATAAAACATACGTGCTGTTAAAGAAATGTGTAGGTAGATATGAAAGTCACAGGTTATAATTTCTGCAACAAGGATTATTTTGAAGGGAAGGTACAGTGAAAAGGTGTCCCTATAAAAACAGCAATGTATCAGCTAGACATTTTAGAGGTATGCCTGGCTCTGGTTTAGTCAAGAAGTTACATGGAAGAATAGCATTTAAAATAAAGTCCCTCTTGTTCTCCACAGGTATTTTCTGTTTTCTAGCTTACTAAGTTAGAAAGTTAAATCACTGATTTCAGTCATTTCTTCTTTCTCATAGAACTTTCAAAATAATGCACTAGTCTTTTAAGCACATCTTTAACTACATCTCATGAATTTCAGCATGGTTTGTTTCCATATTTCTTAGCTTCAGAAGATTTTCTAATCTCCTTTGTAATTTATTTTTTAACCCACAGGTTATTTAGAAGTAAGTTGTTGGGACTTTACAGGATTTTTTTTGTTGATTTTTACTTTGATTCCATTATGGAGAAAAAATATAATGTTTAGGAATTTGTTCTTTGGAAATCTTTTGAGATGACTTTTGTGGCCTAGTATAGGGTCTCTCTTAGTAATCTCATAGGAATGGAAGCCCATAGACATTTTGCTTTGAGCTAATACATAATAAACTACCTTGCAACTGGTTGTAAGAGCATGTAGTTACTGATTCTAGATTTTCAGGAAGGCTTTCTTTATTTGATTAAAGCTAGGCTGTTTCTTTAAGCTATTTCTTCATAGTTTTTCAGGACAGTTTTCTTTATTTAATTAAAGCTAGGCTAAACCATACAAAATGATCATTTTATAGGTAAAACATCACAGAATATTGGTAATTTCATATTATTCCACCTAATAGTATGTTTCCATCCAGTAGCCTTTAATTACATGGTAGGTTTGGTAATGTCTTTGATGAAAATGCTTAAGCAAGTCTTTCCAAGAATGGGGTTGAAGAATAATATATCAGAAAAACTTGAGAAGAATTTTATTTCAAGTTTCTTGTCAAGTTTTAGCCATTCACAACAAAAATTTAGTCAACATAAGTTCGTATACTGTACTGGCAATTACTCTAGCAATTAGGGCTTCAGCTGCAGTGCAGTCTGAGCCCTTCAGTATATAAAACAGGTTTCTACACCTACTCTGAGGGGAAGCAAAGAAGGAATGCAACATGTGACCTGACATAGTTAGGATTCACTTAGAAATGGGACAATGCTGAGCCTATTGGTTAAGCAAATTTCATACTTGTGGTCACATGGGGCTGAGACATGTAACAGTTTCAGCTTTTATATTTCCTCTAATGTTTCACTCCCTTGATATTTAGATAAAAAGTGCATTACATTACATTTCTTTCTACACCCCATGGAATTTGATTAATGGCTTGGTAAAAATATTAAAATGTTCTCTTTGAGCTGGCATATGTTTCTTTAGTGAGGAAGCTGACAACGACTCTGTGGTGAGATTCTGACATGCTCATGATTTTACAATTTCAGACCTGCTAAAAGTGTTTGTGTAAATACAATTTCTGCTTCCACTTGTGTAGCTTGCCTTGAAAGCCAGATAGCATCTGCCTCATCTTCAGCACCTTTCATAAACATGCTGAGGATGCTAGCAGATCTTGATGGCATGACTATGCATAGATTCCAGGACTTAATTCAAGTGGTTCATGAGGTTGCTGCTGTCCCTAGATCAAGACAGTGATCCTGTTTGCTTGAATTGTCAATATCTAACAGGTGTCCTGGATAGTCATACCAGAGGGGCTGGGCTCATGTCAGGAGCTGCTGATGATAGTATCTTACAAAAGGCCAGTTCATAGACATAGAAAATAAAACAGAGATTACTTTAGGCTAGCAGGAGGCAAGGAATAGGGAGTTATTGTTTAATGGGTGTAGGGTTTCACTTTTCAAGATGAAGTGAGTTCTGGAGATGTATGGTGGTGATTGTTCCACAACAATGTGTCTGAAAAGATTAACTAAAATATTAGACAATGATTTGAAGCTGTTGTAACAAAATTCTTTCTGTCTGTCCAATTTTATTAAGGAAATGAGTGAAACGACACTAAATACGTAGAAGAGGTATAGTAATATTGCTTGTCATCTAGGCAACAACTTTCTCGCCATTTTAAGGGAGGTAAATTAAGACAGTGAGTGGGATTGGGATAGACTTGTAGCCTCAAAAAGAATTCTGACATGGCTCATGAGGGCCCTCTTTTTGAGGCTACAAGTTAGTTAATCTTTTGGAACATGTTATCTTCTGCTATTTATAGCAAAGATCCTAAGTGTAACTATTGTCATTTTCTTCTATATCTGCAAGTTGGTATGTTTACATACAGGTGAAAGAGCCTCTTTTCCATATAGTCTAGTCATAAGTAAAAGACCTTTTAGGCTTAGGTCTGGAAAACTTTTAAGTCCTAATAGTATGAGATTTTTTTTTTTAAGTTTAATTTTTTTATTTTTTCAAACATCACATTCCTGATAAGGCCAACTTACAAACTAAAACAGTCTTTGTAAATTCTTAAGCAGCTTTTTAAAATGAAGCAAATTGAATGTACAAGTTTAGTAAGCATTCAAGCACTGTTTATAATCCCCTTAATTATCTACATTCCCTAATGCATGTCAAATTTAAATCATAGTTATAATCAGCTATTTCTAATTAAAAATACAAAACAAGTAATTAAATTCTCTAAAATATCAAAGATTCTCTAACATATCATCTTTTGAACATTTCGTATGCTACATATAAGAAACATAAATTATCATCATGACTTAAAATATATCTCACATAAACTATCACAGTATTAATACTTTCTATATATGATGTCACTGTCTCTATATTACTTCTACAGCCTGATGGATTTGCAAAGTCATTTATCCAACTAATGAGTGAAAATCACTATCTTTAGCAGTGCCAAGATCTCCAGATAAAGATTCAAAACCAAGATCCTGCTACAGATCTAGGTTAAACCATCTGATCTGAGGGACTGGAATTTGGGATCTGATCTGTGATCCTTTTCCAAGCCAGTAACACCATATCAACAGGGAAACTCAAACGCATGCTTTTTAGCTGCCATGCAGCTTTATAGTCCTTAAAATATATTCCTTCAGTAATTTTCCTTGTGGAAATTTCACCTTTATGCAAATTTTATTTTCAACTTTTTATTGTCTGATTTAGATAGATGGAATTCTGCACCCACCACAAGGAATCCAGCTAATTGCCTTCAATTAGAGTTAATTGAATTATGTACTGCTTTGATTGTGATAGCATCCTTTTATATTTTATTTTATTTTCCTTTTTTTAAAATTATACTTTAACTTCTGGGTTATATGTGCAGAATGTACAGTTTTGTTGCATAGGTATACATGTGCCATGGTGGTTTGCTGCACCCATCAACCCGCCACCTACATTAGGCATTTCTCGTAATATTATCCCTCTTCTAGACCCCCACCCCCATAGGCCCTAGTGTGTGATGTTCCCCTCCCTGTGTCCATGTGTTCTTATTGTTCAGCTCCCACTTATGAGTGAGAAGATGTGGTGTTTGGTTTTCCATTCTTGTGATAGTTTGCTGAGAATGGTGGTTTCCAGCTTTGTCCATGTCCCTGCAAAGGACATGAACTCATCTTTTTTATGGCTGCATAGTATTCCATGGTGTATATGTACCACATTTTCTTAATCTAGTCTATCAGTGATGGAAATTTGGGCTGGTTCTAAGTCTTTGCTATTGTGAACAGTGCCGCAATAAACATATGTGTGCATGTGTCTTTATAGCAGCATGATTTATAATCCTTTGGGTATATACCCAGTAATGGGATGGCTGGGTCAAATGGTATTTCTAGTTCTAGATAATTGAGGAATTGCCACACTGTCTTCCACAATGGTTGAATTAATTTACATTCCCACCAACTGTGTAAAAGTGTTCCTATTTCTCCACATCCTCTCCAGCATCTGTTGTTTCCTGACTTTTTAATGATTGCCATTCTAACAGGCTTGAGATGGTATCTCATTGTGGTTTTGATTTGCATTTCTCTGATGACCAGTGATGATGAGCATTTTTTCATATGTCTGTTGGCTGCATAAATGTCTTCTTTTGAGAAGTGTCTGTTCATATTCTTTGCCCCATTTTGTGGTAGGGTTGTTTGCTTTTTTCTTTTAAATTTGTTTAAGTTCTTTGTAGATTCTGTGTATTAGCCCTTTGTCAGATGGATAGATTGCAAAAATTGTCTCTCATTCTGTAGATTGCCTGTTCACTCTGGTGATAGTTTCTTTTGCTGCACATAAGCTCTTTAGTTTAATTAGATCCCATTTGTCAATTTTCGCTTTTATTGCCATTGCTTTTGGTGTTTTAGACATGAAGTCTTTACCCACGCCTATGTCCTGAATGGTATTGCCCAGCTTTTCTTCTAGGGTTTTTATAGTCCTAGGTCTTACATTAAAGTCTTTGATCCATCCTGAGTTGATTTTTGTATGAAGCATAAGGAAGGGGGGTCCGGTTTTGGTTTTCTGCATATGACTAGCCAGTTTTCCCAACACCATTTGTTAAATAGAGAATCTTTTCCCCATTGCTTGTGAGTGTCAGGTTTCTCAAGAATCAGATGGTTGTAGATGTGTGGTGTTATTTTTGAGGCACCCGTTCTGTTCCATTGGTCTATATCTCTGTTTTGGTACCAGTACCATGCTGTTTTGGTTACTTTAGCCTTGTAGTAAAGTTTGAAGTCAGGTAGCATGATGCCTCCAGCTTTGTTATTTTTTGCCCAGGATTGTCTTCACTATGTGGGCTCTTTTTTGCTTCCATATGAAGTTTAAAGTAGTTTTTTCCAATTCTGTGAAGAAAGTCATTGGTACCTTGATGGGGATAGTATTGAATCTATAAATTACTTTGGGCCGTAAGACTATTTTCATGATATTGATTCTTCCTCTCTAAGAGCATGGAATGTTTTTCCATTTGTTTTTGTCCTCTTTTATTTTGTTGAGCAGTGGTTTGTAGTTCTTCTTGAAGAATTCCCTCTTTTTCAACAACAAAAAAATAGTTTCAGTAAGAATGGTACCACCTTTTCTATGTAGAAGATCAGATAGTTGGTCCTAGTAGAATTCAGCTGTGAATATTTCTGGTTCTGGGCTATTAATTACCGCCTCAATTTTAGAACTCATTATTCATCTATTCAGGGATTCAGTTTCTTCCTGGTTCAGTCTTGGGAGTTGTATGTGTCCAGGAATTTATCAGTTTTTTTTTTAAGATTTTCTAGTTTATGTGCATAGCAGTGTTTATAATATTCTCTGATGATTATTTGTATTTCTGTGAAGTAAGTGGTAATATCCCTCTTATCATTTCTGATTGTATTCATTGAATCTTTTCTCTTTTCTTGTTTATTAATCTAACTAGCGGTCTATCTTGTTCATTAAAAAAAAAAAAGCTCCTGGTTTGTTGATTGTTTGAATGATTTTTTGTGTCTCTGTCTCCTTCAGTTCTACTCTGATCTCAGTTATTTCTCATCTTCCAGCTTTGGGGTTTGTCTGCTCTTGGTTCTCAATTTCTTTCAGTTGTGTTGTTAGGCTGTTCACTTGAGATCTTTCTAGCTTTTTGATGTGGTCATTTAATACTATAAATTTTCCTCTTAACACTGCCTTAGCTCTGTCCCAGACATTCCAGTGTGTTGTATCTTTGTTCTCAGTAGTTCTACCTTAATCTCATAATTTACCCAGAAGTCTTTCAGGAGCAAGTTGTCCAATTTTCATGTAATTGTCTGGTTTTTGTTGTTGTTGTTGTTTATTTATTGAGACAGAGTCTCGCTCTGGCAATAGGCTGGAGTTCAGTGGCATGATCTTGGCTAACTGCAACCTCCACCTCCTGGGTTCAAGTGATTCTCCAGCCTCAGCCTCCCTAGTAGCTGGGATTACAAGCATGTGCCACCACACCCAGCTAATTTTTGTATTTTTAGTAGAGATGGGGTTTCACCATGTTGGCCAGGATGGTCTCGATCTCCTCACCTCATGATCCAACCACCTTAGCCTCCCAAAGTGCTGAGATTCAGGATTGAGCCACCGTGCCCAGCCAGTTGTATGGTTTTGATTGAAGTTCTTCCTGTTGAGTTCCAGTTTGATTGTGCTATGGTCCAAGAGACTGTTTGTTATTATTTCAGTTATTTTGCCTTTACTGCAGAGTGGTTTTTGTCTGACTATGTGATCAATTTTAGATTAAGTGCCACATAGTGATGAAAGAATGTATATTCTGTTGTTTTTGGATGGAGAGTTCTGTAGATATCGGGTCTACTTGATCCAGAGCTGAGTTCAGATTCTGAATATCTTTGTTATTTTCCTGCCTTGATGAGCTGTCTAATATTTTCAGTAAGGTGTTAAATTCTTCCACTATTATTGTGTGGGAAACTATGTCTCTTTGAAGATGTCTAGAAATTTGCTTTATGAATCTGGGTGCTCTTTTGTTCGGTGCATATATATTTAGGATTGTTTAGTCTGTTTATTGAATTGATCCCTTTACCATTGTGCAATGCCGTTGTTTTTCTTTTATGATCTTTGTTGGTTTAAAGTCTGTTTGTCATAAACTAGGATTGCAACCTCTGCTTTTTTGTCTTTTCCATTAACTTGGTAAATTTTTCTCCATCTCTTTATTTTGAGCCTGGGTGTGTCACTGTATGTGAGATGAGTCTCTTGAAGACTGCATACTGATGGGTCTTGGCTCATTATCCAGCTTGCCACTCTGTGCCTTTTACTTTGGGTTTGTAGTCCATTTACATTTAAGGTTAATATTATGTGTGGGTTTGAGCTTATCTTCATGATGGTCACTGGTTGTTTTTCAGACTTGTTTATGTTGTTGCTTTATAGTATCACTGGTATGTGTGACAGTGGTATGTATACTAGCGACACTATAAACAAAATTAAAAGAATTTTTTTTTACTTTGGTTTTTAACTTGTATTCATTTATTTTGAACTGACAAGCAAAGCCTGGCTACAGAGCCTTATGCTTGTAATCCCGGAATTTTGGGAGCTCAAGCTTCTGGGCCTAAGAGAGGTGAGAGAATTGTTTGGGCCCAGGAATTTGATGCTTCAGTGAGCTGTAATAATTTCACTGGAATCTATCCTGGGTGACAGAGTGAAACCCTGTTTTCCTGGCCAAAAAAATAAATATATAAATAAATGTCACATTAACCATAGCTGCAGATCTCAGTTTATGGTATATATTAAGCAGTTCACCTTTATCTTTTAATGTGACTTTTCTCTTCCTCTTGGGAGCACTTTTAAAATTACTAGTGGCATTTCATATAATTTCCATGGCATTTTTCATGATTTACAGCATTGCATTAAATATGATGAAAAATATTGGACCTGAGAAACAGAAGGTATTTCTTTTTTACTGATACAATGCAGTTTACTGGAGAGAAGAATTTCTCCTATGGAGATAATTGTTAGTGTCCCATGACTTTTTAGACATATACTCACAACAGCTGATCTCACTGCAATATCAACAGCAGGTGGTATGAAATTATTACAGTAGTGCAGCATGTGCTATAATCAATCTTCTTCCTTCCTTTCCCCTTCCCTTTACCTTTCCCATACCGTTTCCTTGTATCTTTCTTTCTTTCCTTTCTTTCTTCTTTCTTTATTTTCACAGGGTCTCATGCTCTTGCCCTGGCTGGAGTGCAGCACTGCAATCATGACCCACTGCAGCCTTGATCTCCTAGGGCTCAGACGATTCTCCCATCTCAGCTTCCCCAGTTGCTGGGATTACAAGCATGCCCCATCATGCTCAGCTAATTTTTGTATTTTTTGTAGAAATGGATTTTGCCATGTTGCTCAGGCTGGTGTTGAACTCCTGAGCTCAAGCAGTCCTCCCATCTTGGCCTTCTGTAGTGCTGGGATTATAGGGGTGAGCTACTGCACGTAGCTTACTAAAGTTTAATCTTATGCTGTATGATTTCATACTATATCTTTACATTTGTTTACATTTTCCTTGACTGCAAGTGGCTCTGTGTACAGCTGTCATCTGTGCATGTTTTGATAAATTTTAATGTTTTATCACAGATTTATGTTCATTTTATAGTTGTCCATTTCACAATAGAGTAGTATCTACATACATTCATGCATTCATGAAATCCCTACTTTTCTGTCAATTTTTTTCAATATTTCTATGCTGTGAAGCTGGTGAGCTTTTTTTTTACATTCTTGCAACTTTCTACCTCCAAAATGTCTAATATATTTCTTGCCAAAAAGTTTCCACATATAAGTGGATCCATGTAGTTGAAGCCTGTTTCCTTGTTTCAGGGACAACTATATTTGGATCAACGGTAAGAATACAGGAGGTGGTAATTTGGAATCAAGATAAAATAAAAGGAAGTACACAGAGGAAAAGTAGAACCATTATTGAAAGTTTAATACTTATTGCTGTTTGTGATATATTCTTGCAGTACAGATCTCACCTGTGTGTTTATTCAATAAGTATTTTTGACCCATAACCTAGGTGCTAGAGATAAACAAAGAAGGCATGGTTTTACTCTGAGAGAGTCTATATAATGTTGGGAATTTACTTAAGCTGATTTCTTCATTGTTAGTCTATAGCAGAGGACATGAAAAATTCTAACTTACTTGCATAAGATGGCCACAGAGAAAAGGAATTCATTCACCATAAAGAAGGAAACTTACAGAATTTTACTTTATTTTATTTTCAACAAAATTTTCGTATGTCTCCCACCTTTTTATGAAGATTTGGGTTTTTACTGTTATTATTGCTTAATGTAATACTATGATCTTATCTGGAATGACTCTTATTTTTGTTTTAATCAGAATTGATCATAAAATGTCAAGTACTCACATGAACTGTAAACTGAGGCACAGGCTATAATGAGTGAGATTGGCACTATCAAGAAAGCTATTTGTATGGGAGAGAAGGAGAGATGAGTCCTGATTCAAATAAGGCTTGGGTACCACTGCTGGGCAGGCCTCTTATTTATCCACCTGTCCAACTGTGCCTAATTTCCTTTTACTTAAAAAAGAAAAGTGTGTATATGTATATGCTTAGTCCTCCCATCTTGGCCTCCTATAGTGCTGCCTCATCTATGTCTATCTATGCACGTTTTATTATTTTTAATTTATAATGGACAAATAACAATTGTACATATTTATAGGATACAAAGAGATATTTCAATGAATATATACGTAGTACAATAATGAAATTGATGAAATAATTAGCATATTCATTAACCATTTGTTATTAACTTTAGTCATTTATCATTTCCTTGTGTTGACATTCTAACATTACTCTGCCACGATCATGAAATATACAATACACTGCTTGTTGCTATAGTCACCCTACTGGGTAGATAGCACCAAATCTGATTTTTCATGTCTAATGCTAACTTTGTACCTACTGACCAATCCGGTCTTTCTCAGTCCTCTACCTTGCTCATTCTCTGGTAACAACTATTCTACCCTGCTTCTGTATAAAATTCACTTAGGTTCTGCATATGAGTGACAACATGTGTTGTTTAATTTTCTGTGTGTGGCTTACTTCACTTATCATAATGTCTTCCAGCTTTTTCCATGTTTCAGCAAATGAAAGGATTTAATACTGTTTTATGGCTTAATAGTGTTTCATTGAATGTATATGCCATATTTTCTTTATCCATTAATCACTAGGCAATTAGGTTGATTCCCTATCTTGGCTTTTGTGAATATTGCTGCAGTAAACATAGGTGTGCAGACGTGTTTCTGATATACTTCGTTTTTTTTTTACAGCTACATATACAGCAATTACTTTGCTGAGTCAGATGGTTATTGTAGTTTTAATTTTTAAAGTAAACTCCATACTATTTTTCATAGTGTTTATATTACTTTCCTTCACATCAACAGTGTGTTAGAATTGTCTTTTCTCTGTATTCTCATCTCATTAGTTATGTTTTGTCTTTTTAATAATATTAATTCTTATGAATATTATGTTATTCTTATTAATATTAGTTATTAATCCTGATTAACATTAATTATTAATTTTATATTATTAATTCTTACTGGAGTAAGATGGTATCTCACTGTGGTTTTGACTTGCATTTTTCTGATTATTAGTGATGTTAAGCATTTTTCATATATTTATTGGTCATACCTAAAAATCTATTAGGTATTTTTCCCATTTTTTAATTACATAATTTTTTCCTATTGCATGTATATTTTAATATTTATCATACATAATGTATAACTAATTTTACGGACTTAAAGTGTGTTTTGAAAATAGGGGAAAAAGTCACATTGTTTAGCAATCAAAATAATTTTGAAGGAGTTCTGCTATCACCATTTCCCCTCCTATGGCAACTTTATTTGTTCATTATTTATTAGTTTATAGTTTTATTTATTAGTTTATTGTGTATGCATCTAACGTTTATGCACACACATAAAAATATGAATGCATATGCAACTGCCCTCATAACAAATTTACTTAGTAAGCACACTTTTCTATACTAGCTTACTAATATATTATCCTACATGTGTACACTAAGAACTTTTTTGTTTTGTTATAGTTGTGTAATATTTCAGAGTTTGGATGTTTCTTTTTTATTTTTATTTATTCATTTTTTGGTCCCTATTCTGTAGCTTCTGTTATTTTTATTAAAAAAATTGAGCTTTTGAAGATGGGTGCATGATGGTTATTTTGCTTAATTTTCTCTGTATTCTCATCAGTATTAGTTACTTTTTGCTTTTTTTATAGTATTAATCCTTACTGGAGTAAGATGGTATCTCACTGTGGTTTTGCCTTGCATTTTGCTTAATGTTTGAGTGTATTCAGTTGTTTCTGTTTTTTTTTGTTGTTGTTGATTTAATCCTGTAAGTGAGCACCTAGCACTTTATAAACATTAGTCTAAATACCATACAAGGTAAGACCTGCCGTATAAATGAAGTGAAGCTCAGACTCATAGGCAAAATGAGAGAAATATACAAATAACCATGTCTATTGTAGTGCTTTGTGATGTCTCAGCTGTGGACAAATTGTCTAGTCTGAGTGATTATTAAAATGCAGATTATTGGGCCCCACCCTAGAACTACTGAAACGGAATCTATTTTTATGGGGCACAGAAATCTGTATTTATAAATGACCACTCAAGATTATAAAAAGGCAATGATGAATTATTAGATTTACTGAATATTGGTAAGAAGAGTGGGTACCACTTACTGAGGACTCCGTGTATGCAGAATTGAACAAGTTGCTCTGCATATATTACCCATATAGTGCTATCCAAAACCCCAAATATGTAAAAAGTGTGAATTAGGTGGTATTTCATGACAGGCTTCCCTGCAGGAGGTCAGCCAGTGTTCGTGCTATGCCTTCTCTCATACTATAATATACAGCACTGGGGTTTGCCACCAAATTGCCTTCTTGGGTTCTCCCCAATGGCAAAACAATATATTAATAATTATTAATAATATTAATATATTATGCATTGCAATATATTGATTAATTAATATATAATATATTATTAATATAATATTACATTAATATAATCATATTAATTGTATATTAATTATTTTAAAATATATTATTAATGTATTATATCAATTACATTATGAATCATATATTAATTATATACTTACAATTATATATTTATATATAATTATATAAATAATTATATGTATTATTTATATTAGCAATAACATATTAACATATTATAATTAATACATAATAATATAAGCTAAATATATAATATATGCTTAATAGATTATAATATATTAATAACATATAATGATTACTATATCACAATATAGTAATACTAATATTAATATACTGTTAGTTATAATATATTAATAATTATATAATGTATGATATGTTAATTAGTATGTATCATGATATATTAATAAATATATAATTATTAATAAATAATGTAAAATATATTAATAAATAATGTATCATCCTATATTAATAATTAATATATCATATTATATAGTTACTGCAGTATAATAATATTTAATATAGTGTGATATATTAATGATTAATATAGTGATATATTAATGATTAATATAGTATGATATATACTGTATTATATATCATACTCCCAAAAATGTTTGTCAATCTATGCTCTAAAAAAAGTCTGTTAATAAACATTTAAATTAAATTAATATAGTATATTATACTATGTTATATATCATACTATATTAAGCATTAATATATCATACTATATTATCATACTATATATCATACTATATTATATAATATACTATGTTAATTATTAATATATCATGATATATTAATACATTTCTAGAAGAAGCTTGATGTCCTCACATCCTTTTTGAAGCCTCCATGGTCTCTAAAGTCCTCTTCCACTATATTCAAATAAGTTATTTTGTCTTTTTTATACTACTTAACAGTGTTGATCTCTTGCGAGAAGAAGCCTTTATCTGGAGCCAGCTCCATAATTTATTCTGTGTTGGATATTATGTTTCTTGAGTTGGAAGGTGAATATATTTAAAAATATAAAATAAATTATAGAAAAATATGATTTTTATTTAATTCATACACTTAGAGGTTCTATTTGCCAGAATACAAACTTTCTTTAATTTTTGGCAAATTAGCATTCCTATGAGATTACTTTGACCATATATAATTGTGATAAAAATAGCAAATTATAAAAAAAAACACAATGTCCAGATAAGATGGCTCTTGCCTGTAACCTGGCATTTTGGGAGGCTGAAGCAGGAGAATCACTTGAGGCCAGGAGTTCAAGAGCAGTGTGGGCAACATAGTGAGACCTCATTTCTATAAAAACTTTAAAAAATTAGCTGGGCATGGTTTGTGTGCCTAGAGCCAGGTTCTCATAAGACTGCAGCGGAAAGATTGCTTGAGCCCAAGTGTTTGAGACTGACCTAGGCAACATAGTGAGACATTTTCTGTACAGAAAATAATTAGCTAGGCATGGAGATGTGTGTTCTTAACCCCAGCTAATCTAAAGGCTGAGGCAAGAGAAGCTCGTGAGGCCAGGAGTTTGAGACAAGCATGGCAACTGAGGAAGACCCTATTTCTACAAAAAACAGAAAATTACATGGGTGTGGTGGCATATGGCTGTTGTCCCACTTACTTGTGAGGCTGAGGCAAGAGTTTGTTTGAGTCTAGGACACTGATTCTGCCAGTGAGCCATGACTGTATCACAGCATTCCACCCTGTGTGACAAGAGCAAGACCCAGTCTCTAAGAAAATAATAAAATAAAAATAACAGGAATATGTCAGCAAAATGGCAGACTCGGTAGTTCCAAGCATTTGTATCTACACAAAAAGAAGTAGTAGTCTAAATCAACTTTGTAAGAGTTCTGGAAAACAGTCAAAGGTTTGTAGTAACCAAGGAAATGTACAGTCAAGGAAAGATGGCTGGGCATGGTGGCTTATTACCTTTATTCTTGTGATTCGGTTTCTCAAAAAATTGGCAAATCATTAACAGACACAATTTTTTTAGAGCATAGATTGGCAAACATTTTTGGTAGAGGGCCAGAAAGTAAGTATTTTAGGTTTTGCAGAATATACTCTGTTTCCAGTATTCAGCTCTGCAGAAAAGCAGCTATAGACAACAGGTGAACAAATAGATGTGGCTGTGTCCCTTTAATAGTTTACTTATAGAACTAGTCCACCGATAAGACACGGTCTCTGGGCCACAGTTGGCCAATCCCTGGCCTAAAACAGTAGTTTCTGAAGACTTTATAGTTTTACTACTCTTGGCAATTTTGTTTTTCTTTTTCTTTTTCCCTTTTTAATTTTTTTATAGAGATAGTGCCTCACTGTGTTGCCCAGGCTGATCTTGAGCTTCTGTGCTGAAGCAATCCTCTTGCCTTGGCCACCCAAATTGTTGCGATTACAGACATGGGCTACCATATGTAGCCTGAACAGTTTCTTGTTCTTCTAAAACTATATCAGGAAATGGACCTGAATTAAAATAAATTTTATTTGAGATTTTGGAGAATTTTAAAATGCCCTTTGATAATTTATGAAGCCTTGAATTAGCCATAAAATCACAGTTGGTAATTGCTACTTGAAGCAGGATTGTGAATATTTTTAAATGCTACTTTTAATCTTATTAAATGAAACATTATTAAATGGAAAGGCATTGGACTTTTGCATTTACTTAAGGCTTAAGATGAAATATCAGTGGAATGCAGAAGACATAAAAATATCAAAAGAAAGAAAAAGGGGAAAATATTAAAAAAAAAACAGAAATAATTAGCTACTATTTTGGAATTTTAGCAAATATTGCATAGTATAGTTAATAATGACAGTCCATGTTTTAGATTTTCCACAACAGCCTATGTGCACATACATATTTTTACCACTTGTATTCTTTGGTTTAAAGTATATGGTCAAACTCTTTATCACATAGAGAAGAATCTATAACAAAAAAAGATTTTTTTCCCTAATGATTTTGTAGTGAGTATAAGAAAGAGACATGGGACCCACTGAATTTCTTTAATAATTTATTGCTTTTTATAATAAGATTAGGAATAGAATTTAGATATTCTTAAACCAGTTTAAACTGAATCACAAGAATAAAGGTAATAAGCCACCATGCCCAGCCATCTTTCCTTGACTGTACATTTCCTTGGTTACTACAAACCTTTGACTGTTTTTCAGAACTCTTACAAAGTTGATTTAGACTGCTACTTCTTTTTGTGTAGATACAAATGCTTGGAGCTACTGAATAGTTCTTTAATTACTTAGGTAGAATGTCCTAAAAATAGCAAGTAGGTTGCAGGCAAGTTATGCAGTTGTTATCCTTGTTTATGAGGCTGGCACTGGGCTGGCTGCTTCCCAGATATCATCTCATGGATGGAAGTATTTTTTTTTTTTTTTTGAGACAGAGTTTTGTTCTTGGTGCCCAGGCTGGAGTGCAATGCCCTGATCTTGGCTCACTGCAACCTCTGCCTCCCATTTTCAAATAATTCTCCTGCCTCAGCCTCCTGTGGGTAGCTGGGACTACAGGCACTTGCCACGATGCCTGGCTAATTTTTGTATTTTTAGTAGGGATGGGGTTTCATCATGTTGATCAGGCTGGTCTCAAACTCCTGACCTCAGGTGATCCTCCTGCCTCGGCCTCCCAAAGTGCTGAGATTATATGCATGAGCCATAGCGCCTGGCCCCCCACATGAAAGTATTGTTGCATCCATGTTTGATGGGGAAACAGTTGTTAGTTTACTAAGGTCATGTAGCCAGGAGAGGCAGGTATGGGTTTAAATATTTCTGACTTCAAAACCATGTAAAATGTGTCAAAATATATATCAATAAATATATCAGATATTCAAATATATTTTTTCAAGTGTTTCTTTTTGTTTGTTTCTTTATTTTTCTTTTGGTTGGGGGAAAGTGTCTTACTCTGTTGCCCTGGCTGGAGTACAGTGGCACAATCATGGCTCACTGCAGCCTCAAACTCCCAGGCTCAAGGGATCCTCCTGCCCCAACCTCCTAATTATCTGAGTCTGCAGGCATGCCCCTCCACGTCTTGCTAATTTTTAAATTTTTTTTGTATTTTCAGGACCTCCTTATGTTGCCCAGCCTGGTCTTGAAGTCCTGGTTTCCAGTAATTTGCCTGCCTCAGCCTCCCAAATTATTGGGATTACAGGTGTGAGCCACTGTGCCTGGACTGTTTTCAAATATGCCTTGACATGAAGTTATTAGAAATAAAAAGACTTATTGGTTATAACATGTGGTCTAGTAAAGTGAGATCTATAGTTGGAGCAGGTTTATTGAAAATTCAGTTGTATGACTTTTCCAGAAAGGGAGAAGTAGTCAAGTTGAGCTATAGTTACCTTACATATGAATCTTTTTGTTTTCTCTAACATTTTATTCAGTTCAGTATAATTGATAATAAAAATATTTAAGTACAATTATTGAGTTCATAACACCGTATTTTAAATCATACTACCCTTAAAGTAATATTCCCTTATACCAAGCATTTTTGATACTTTGTTTACCTTTTGTTCTTTTATATGCCATGAGATATTGGAAGGATTCCTTTATTCCATACAACACACGACTCATTGGTCTTCTTAAGGTCTTGAACTTCTTACTAAATATCACTAATTTCTATTTACAAAGTGATTTCCTTCTAAGAAAGTTTTTTTAGAAACTTCATTTCTTCTCATTGTATAAATTTATAAAACTGATTAGTACACTTTCACTGTTAAAAAAAAAAAAGTTCAGCAGTTTTGGTAAAGCGAAAAAAAAAAAAGCCATTCCCAACTCTTGTGGTCAAACATTCCTTAGAATGCTATTTGATCTAGCATTTTCTTCAGACTTTTTTAATAATTGAAATTGTGGAAAGATTAAAACAATATTATAAATTGTTGCTGAATGTTTAAATGGATTTTCTCTGTTGAGAATATGTTTTCAATATTATTTCCTTTTCTTTTTTTCTGCTCCTGAAAGTTTGATTTTCATCGTAAAACAAAGTTGGTACACCAACTAGGACTTAGTTGGCAGTATGAAGAAGCAAGAAAGAGGTAAGACAGCCCATTTCAAAAATAATTCCTTCTGCTTACCTGCTTTTTCCAATAGAGAGAAATTTAACATAATTTATTTTGCTAGTGATATTAAAACTCTACCTGAAGATGGCTGTTTCCATGCCTTAACAGAAAATAACTTGTCATAAATTCTGCTTTTGCCCCTAAATAATCTTTATTTTTTAAAATCATATTATGTTTGTAGTGATCATCACTATGCTTCTTCCAGTTTTCTTTTGTAAACTTTCTCTTTTTGATTATATCTGTTTTTCCAAGGTATATTTAACAGAATAATAGAACATTACCTCCCTAAAAACATAATTAATATAGTTGTCAATCTTGGTACTACTGACATTTGTAGTATATTTGTATTGTGGGGAACTGTTTCATGCACTATGGGATGTTTAGCAGTTACCCTGGTCTCTACATACTAAATGCCAGTAGCTTTCCTTCTCCCAAAAATGCATCCATGCATCGTCTCATGAAATGGGGCATAAAATTGTTTCTAGTTGAGAACCATTGCTTTAAAACCATTTGATACGTTATTAGACATAATTATTTTTAATTATTTTTAAAATTTTGCCTTAACATTTTCTTAATTACTCATCTATGTCTGACATTGTGAACATATTGCTACTATAAGGTTATATGTCAAATTTAATAACCTTAGCAAAGCACTCATAAAATGCATTAAAACATCAATTTTTCAGGAGCTGTTGCTGAAACTCATACTGGTAGAATATACAAAAAAGCTCTTACAATAAAGACAGCTTTAAAAACCTTTGCCTGAACTTTAAAACTTTTAAAAATGAAGTTTATTACTTTTGGAAAATTAAAAGTAGTAATACATATTCTTAGAATATTGGGGAAATCAGAAGCAAAAGAAAAAAATTGTAAAATGTCACCTGCATTCTCAACAACCAAAAAGGCCATGGTTAATGTTTAGTGCATTTTTTCCCTCCTTTTAAGACTTAAAAATTACACTTCTCAGGCAATATTCTGGTTTCTTTTTTCAATGCAGATCCCCAAGCATTCTTAGGTACGGTGAGTCTATTATCTTATGGCACTGGAACATTCCACTTGTGGAGAGTATGTTTATAATTCATACTAAAAATCTACTATGTGTCAATACTGTCTTCGGGGCTGGAGTTCAGGGATGACAGTTTGCAGTCTCTTCTTCATAAGCTTTGTAAATCTACAGTCTGTTGTTTCATTGCTGGCATTTTGGTAACCAATTAAGATTGCTGTTCCAAGCAGGCAGTGGATTCATTTTGTAGAGAGGTGCATCACTTTCTTGCTGGTTCTTTCATTCAACTGCCTTTGGCCTGTTTCTAAACTTTGTTTTACAAAGTGTGAAGCATTTATATTAAATCTTTTTTATAGAGTTTCAAACTGGCCATGTATTTTGATAGTAAAACATATACATGCAGATGGATGTTTCCTCTTCTGAGGAGAACAATACTTTCCCTTTTGGAGTAGCAAGGGTTACAGCTCAGATCTCCATTTCTGACCCTAGGTAAGTGGCAGACAGAACCTGATACACTGACATTTACTACATCTACTCATTCTTTCATTCATGTGTGTATTTGGCAAACACCTGTTTTATGTCCACTGAGTGCTTGTCATTGTCCAGCAGTGGGAGTGTACTGGTAAGCAACAAACAGTTCATTGAGCTAGTAGCTGTTAGCAGTAAGTTTAGAAGAGATATAACCTTATTTTTTATTGTAGCAAGTGGACAAAGTGTTCACTAAGTTGTATTTGGTTGTATAAAGGTTTAAATTAATTTGAGTAATCAGTTCCATTTTGGGGTTTGTTGCTTCATCCAAGCTTGACATTTATTGTGGTTATTGAAATAGAATTCCTGTTATATGTGAATTTTAGAGTCAGTCAGTCTATGAAACTGAGCCTAAAGTGTATGTTGACTGTCCCCTCTGATCTGCCATGTCTTCTTACCTTACCGCTTAAAAATTAAACCATCTTCATTTAAGAAAGACATACATGGTGTATATCATGCAGGATCTAACTTTGAAAACATGTTGCCTTCTGTATATGGCTGAATCACATCTCATTGGATATGGTAAAATTTAACTGACCTACATAATATGCAGGTATTTGCCCAGCATGCTATCTGTTCCCCTGAACCAAAAGATTAAAATTCCAACATAAGGAATCTAATCTTGGAAAAATATCTTGATACTGATGAATTTAATTTACATACGACTTAAAGTAATTTGAGTTTCTAGCACTGCATTGAGCTGTATTTCTAATGAGTTTATGCTGACCCTCTTTGTATCACCTTTCCTCTGGAGACAGAAATAGTCTGGTTGTTAGTATAACAATGGTACTTTCCTTGAGAAATTCACAAAGACAGTCTAAGAAGGGGAAAATCCACCTTTTCTAGGCCTATTTCATTGGTTCCAATTGTCATATTTGAGATTAAGCTGCATTTCTATGCTGTTTGCCTGGGCTCATCATATTAATTTCTTGTTCCTTTCAAGATTCATAATGCCATATGGGCCTGTTATAAGTTAGTGTGTAAAAAGAAAAACAATTTATTAAAGTCATTGGGCAGCTAAGTGACTTTCTTGTCATGTCAACCTCCAGCCCATGATGAAGTAAAGGAACATAAGAAAACCAGAGTGGAGGACCCTGGGCTGTTTGGAGTCAAGCAGAGAAGCAGTGAATGTCCCCAAAGGGGCTATCTTGGTCTGGCCTATCTTGCCAGACTTTAAAGTAAAACTTATTCTTAAACTAAGAATGCTTTCCATTATTAAAATATTAGGACATTTCCATAAGCTTGGGGTCTTTATTTAGTTACTTAGCATCGTTAACTCAACCAGAAATATCTTATAACCTAGAGAGCCCATAGAATGTAAGCAGGCTTAGATTTATCCAGCTGTTAATCAAGATGGAGTCACTCTGGTTAGGATGCCTCTGACACTAAGAGATGTGATGACCCCATGCCATTATCTCCAACAAAATATCAAAGTCTGTTTCCATGATTATAACAAAATACTACAGACTGGGTGGCTTTTGAACAACAGAAATGTATTTCTCATAGTTCTCCATACACTGGGAGTCCAAGATCAAGATACCAACAGATTCTGTCTTATGATGACTTTTTTTTATCTGTTTTACAGATGGCACCTTCTTTCTGTGTATCCACATGGTAAACGGCAAATGATCACCCTGAGGCCTGTTTCATAAGGACAAGAATTCTATTAATGAGATCTTCACAGTCATGAACTAATTCCCTCCCATGGATCCCACCTCTCCATACCAATGCCTTGGAGTTGAGAGTTCCAATGTATGAAATTTGGGGGAAAAAACCATTCAGTCTATAGCACAGCAATATATGTTTGCTTTGTTTTATTGTGAATCAGGAAACTAAAAATACAAAGAATACGCAATAGAGCCAAAGTCTGTAACATACTGTTACAAATATACATACTGTTTGTTTTGGTTTGGAGGCATGTCTGAAGATCACATGGAAGGAAGGGTTAGCTCAGTCACGGTAGCTTGAAACCAATATTGCCTGCCTATTTCTTCCTTCATAGCCTGTGCATGGGAGGTGAGTATGTTTGTGGACATTGTCATTGAATATAGTTTAGGCCTTTATTGAATCCAGAGGCTTAATTCTTTAATGTAGTTTTCATTTCCAGAGCCAGCAGAATCTAATTTAACCCAGTGATTCTCAAATGAGGCAACACTAGGCAATGTCTGGAGGCAGTTTTTGATGTCACAATGGAATGTGGTGCTACCGACATCTAGTGGATAGAGGCCGAGGATGCCACTGAACATCCTACAATTCAGAGTGGTCCCTGCAACAGATAATTATCTGGTCCCTAATGTCAATAATGCCGAAGATAATAAGCCCTGTGTTGGATGTTCATAAATAACCAAATGAACAGTTCTATTTATTCTGCTTTATTTATGTCCTCCTGGTAACAGGGGAACAGGACACTGCAGGGGTTAAATTTGCAAATACACCAGTAAAACTCCGAAGTATCAGGATCAGTGTTCTTCTAAACTCTGACTTCAGCTAGAGTGGTATCTTGAACATGGGAGGTGCAATAAATTGGGAACAAATAAACGTGTTTCTGTGTTTGAGGCTACCTTTCATTTCTGCTGGTTAGGTTTAAAGAAACTTGGTGGTTTCTCACACTTCAGCATGCAACAGAATTTCCCAGAGGATTAAACTTCCAGGTTAAACCCAGTTTTCTGGGGCCTAATGCAGAGCTACTGATCCCTGAAGTATGGGATGTGACCCAAAAATGTGCATTTATAATAAGCTCCCAGGTGATGACACTGTTGCTGGCTTGGGAACTACAACTTGAGAACCACTGAAGTCAATTTATGCTTCAGTCTTGAGGAGATGGCATTAATGACATTGTGATCATCCCTGCTTTCTAAGTGTATAGCTGTTTCCCCTTTCCTTTAAAATAGTAAGGCAGTATCAGTTTTTACTGAAATTTCCAGTTAATGCATACCTGTTCTTGGCAGGAAGGAGGGGCTCAGGTTCTGTTGATAACCAAACAGTAGAGAGTTCTTCAGCTTTAAATGCTCTCTGTTTTTTACTTAAAAGGTTAGACTGGAATATTTCCCCCTTCAAATAAAGCAATTCTGCCCTTAACACCCACTCACATCACAGAGCCCCCATGAGGTCTTCCTGTGAAGATCTGGGTGCTGAAATTGGCTCCAAATGTTCTTCAAGAAGTGAAATCACACATGCTCTCTTGCTCTACATCTTTTAAACAAACACAGATGCTGCTGCATTAGTTCTAGCAAGGGATCCCTTTCTGCAGAGCGTTTCATCTCCTTTGGCTTCCTGCCAGGGCAGATGCATCTTTGGCCAGCTCTCATGATTCATGTGCTCACTGGCCATGCACCTTCCCTGCTCAGGATGGTCACAAGCCTGAGCTCCACTCATTGGCCTGGATCAGCTGCAGCATTTCTCAGACCTAGGTTTCAAGTCCATCAGGAAACTGGACCAGGAACCAGAATGCTGCAACCTAGAAGTCTCCAGTGGCTAATAATGAATTTGGGTGAGATTTTCCCTATGCAGTTTCTGTTCACAGGTAAAAGGAAAGGTGGGTAAGGGAGAAGGCATCAGATTTTTCCCAAGCCCTGCCAGGTGGTCCTCTAATAAGAGTCTGGACAGGGTAGCTTTTGCAGAAGGGCCCAGTTGCTTGAATTTATAATTCACTGGATTCCCTTTAATTGCTACTCAAAGGGGCTGCAAGTTCAGACACTTCATTAAAAACATTATTTTTTTCAGTTTACATCACTAGAACCCTGCCAGATGAGAAGTTGACTTCTTCTGGGTTGATGTTTATCTGAGTTTTGTTATAATTACTGTCACAATTATTATGAAAATTATAATTATTATACACAATTCTTATTACAACCCAGGGCATAATATACAAACATATGGAAGGCAGCTTCAAATTTGTATTCCCACAGTGTGATCTTAACCAGTTTAATTTATAGATGTGCAGCCACAGAACTTCTAACAGAAAGAGATCAGGTCTATTTTAGGCAGTTACCTTATCTTGTGATACTTTCTCCAAGGTAAAAATAAGAAAGCAAAAACAGGAAGATTTTTTTGGCTGGGGGTAAAGGGTAAAGATGATGTTACGGTAGATTCATCCCTGTAGAAAACTTGCAATCTCTCTCTACATTTTTTTTCAAAACAATGTAGAAATGATCAACATGTAACTGAGAATCTAAATTGACTGACTAGAGAGGGTTAAAAAGGGAATCAACAGTGGTCCATTCTAAGATGGCTGAATAGGAATAGCTCCAGTCTGCAGCTCCCAGTGTGATCGATGCAGAAGATGGGTGATTTTGGCATTCCCAACAGAGGTACCTGGTTCATCTCCTTGGAACTGGTTGGACAGTGGGTGCAGCTCACAGAGGGTGAGCCAAAGCAGGGCAAGGCATCATCTCATGTGGGAAGCACAGGGGTTGGGGGATTTCCCTTTCCTAGCCACAGGAAGCCATGACAGACTGTACCTGAAGAAACAGAACACTCCTGCCCAAATACTGCACTTTTCAATGGTTTTAGCAACTGGGAGACCAGGAGATTCCCTCCCATGCTTGGCTTGGTGGGTCCCACACCCAGGGAGCCTTGCTAACTGCTAGTGCAGCAGCCTGAGATTGACCTGCAAGGCTCCAGCCTGGCTGGGAGAGGGGCATCTGCCATTGCTGAGGCTTAAGTAGGTAAACAAAGTGGCCAGGAAGCTTAAACTGAGTGGAGCCCACCGCAGCTCAGCAAGGCCTACTGCCTCTATAGATTCCACCTCTGTGGACAAGGCATAGCTGAACAAAATGCAGCAGAAACTTCTGCAGACTTAAACATCCCTCTCTGACAGCTTGAAGAGAGCAGTGGTTCTCCCAGCATGGCGTTTGAGCTCTGAGAACAAAGAGACTGCCTCCTCAAGGAGGTTCCTGAAACCCATATAGCCTAAATGGGAGACATCTCCCAGTAAGGGCCGATGGACACCTCATACAGGTGGGTACCCCTCTGGGATAAAGCTTCCAGAGGAAGGATCAGCAATATTTGCTGTTCTGCAGCCTCTGATGGTGATACTGAGGCAAACAGGGTGTGGAGTGGACCTCCAGCAAACTCCAACAGACCTGCAGCTGAGGGACCTGATAGTTAAAAGAAAAACTAACAAACAGAAAGGAATAGCATCAACATCAACAAAAAGGACATCTACACCAAAACTCCATCTGTAGGTCACCAACATCAAAGACCAAAGATAGGTAAAACCACAAAGTTGGGCAGAAACCAGAGCAGAAAGGCTGAAAATTCTAAAAACCAGAGTGCCTCTTCTCCTCCAAAGGAACACGACTCCTCATCAGCAAGGGAACAAAGCTAAACAGAGAATGATTTTGACAAGTTGACAGAAGTAGGATTCAGAAGGTTGGTAATAACAACCTCTCCAAGCTAAAGGAGCATGTTCTAATCCATCACAAGGAAGCTAAAAACCCTGAAAAAAAGGTTAGATGAATGGCTAATGAGAATAAAAAGTGTAGAGAAGACCTTAAGTAACCTGATGGAGCTGAAAACTGGCATGAGAACTTCATGACACATGCACAAGCTTCAACAGCAGATTCAATCAAGTGGAAGAAAGGGTATCAGTGATTGAAGATCAAATTAATGAAATAAAGCAAGAAGACAAGTTTACAGAAAAAAAAAAGAGTTGAAAAGAAGTGAACGGAGCCTCCAAGAATTATGGGACTATGTGAAAAGACCAAATCTGAATCTAATTGGTGTGTACATGAAACCGATGAAGAGAATGGAACCAAGTTGGAAAACACTCTTCAGGATATTATCCAGGAGAACTTCCCCAACCTGGCAATGCAGGCCAACATTCAAATTCAGGAAATGCAGAGAACACCACAAAGATTCTCCTCAAGAAGAGCAACCCCAAGACACATAATTGTCAGATTCACGAGGTTGAAATAAAGGAAAAAATGTTAAGTGCAGCCAGAGAGAGAGGTCAGGTAACCCACAAAGGGAAGCCCATCACACTAACAGTGGATCTCTTGGCAGAAACCCTACAAGCCAGAACAGAGTTGGGGCCAATATTCAACATCCTTAAAGAAAAGAATTTTTAACCCAGAATTTCATATCCAGCCAAACAAAACTTCATAAGCGAAGAAGCTATAACATCTTTTACAGACAAGCAAATGCAGAGAGATTTTGTCATCACCAGGACTGCCTTACAAGAGCCCCTGAAGGAAGCACTAACTATGGAAAGGAACAACTGGTACCAGCCACTGCAAAAGCATGGCAAATTGTAAAGACCATCAATGCTATGAAAAAACTGCAACAATTAAAGGGGCAAAATAACCAACTAACATCATAATGACAAGGTCAAATTCACACATAACAATATTAATCTTAAATGTAAATGGGCTAAATGCCCCAATTAAAAGGCACAGATTGGCAAATTGGATAGAGTTAAGGCCCATCTGTGTGCTGTATTCAGGAGACCCATCTCACATGCAGAGACACACAAAGGCTCAAAATAAAGGCATGGAGGAAGATCTTAAAAGCAAATGGAAAGCAAAAAAAAAAAAAAAAAAAAAAAAAAAAAAACAAGGGATGCAATCCTAGTTTCTGATAAAACAGACTTTAAACCAACAAAGATCAAAAGAGACAAGGCCATTATATAATGTTAAAGGGATCAATTCAACAAGAAGAGCTAATTATCCTAAATATATATGCACCCAATACAGGAGCACCCAGATTCATAAAACAAGTCCTTAGAGACTTACAAAGAGAGTTAGACTCCCACACAATAGTAGTGGGAGACTTTAACACCCCACTGTCAATATTAGACAGATCAACGAGACAGTATGTTAACAAGGATATCCAGGAATTGAACTCAGCTCTGCACCAAGTGGACCTAATAGAATCTACAGAACTCTCCACCCCAAATCTATACAATATACATTTTTAGCACCACATCATACTTATTTTAAAATTGACCACATAGTTGGAAGTAAAGCACTCCTCAGCAAATGTAAAAGAATAGAAATCACAACAAACTGTCTCCCATACCACAGTGCAATCAAATTAGAACTCAGGATTAAGAAACTCACTCAAAACCACACAACTACATGGAAACAAACAACCTGCTCCTGAGTAACTACTGGGTAAATAACGAAATGAGGGCAGAAATAAAGATGATCTTTGAAACCAATGAGAACAAAGACACAAGGTACCAGAATCTCTGGGACACATTTAAAGCATTGTGTAGACAGAAATTTATAGCATTAAATGCCCACAAGAGAAAGCAGAAAAGATCTAAAATTGATACCCTAACATCACAATTAAAAGAACTAAAGAAACATGAGTAAATAAATTCAAAAGCTAGCTGAAGACAAGATATAACTAAAATCAGAGCAGAACTGAAGGAGATAGAGACATAAAAAACCCTTCAAAAAAAATTAATGAATCCAGGAGCTGGTATTTTGGTTTTTTGAAAAGTTAAACAAAGTTGGTAGATCATTAGCAAGACTAATAATAAAGGAAAGAGAGAAGAATCAAATAGACGCAGTAAAAAATGATAAAGGGGATAGGACCACTGTTCCCACAGAAATACAAACTACCATCAGAGGATACTATAAACACCTTTACGCAAATAAACTAGAAAATCTAGAAGAAATGGATAAATTCCTGGACACATAGACACTCCCAAGACTAAAACAGGAAGAAACTGAATCTCTGAATAGACCAACAACAGGCTCTGAAATTGAGGCAATAATTAATAGCCTACCAACCAAAAAAAGTCCAGGACCAGATGGATTCACAGCTGAATTCTACCAGTGGTACTAAGAAGAACTGGTACCATTTTCTGAAAGTATTCCAATCTATAGAAAAAAAGAGAATTCTCCCTGACTGATTTTATGATGCCATAATCATCCTGATACCAAAGCCTGGCAAAGACACAACAAAAAAAAGAGAATTTTAGACTAATATCCCTGATGAACATCAATGTGAAATACTCAATAAAATAGTTGCAAACCAAATCCAGCAGCACATCAAAAAGCTTATCCACCATGACCAATTCAGCTTCATCCCTGGGAGGCAAGGCTTGTTCAACATATGCAAATCAATAAACATAATCCAACACATAAAAAGAACCAACAACAAAAAACACATGATCATCTCAATAGATGCAGAAAAGGCCTTTGACAAAATTCAACAACACTTCATGCTAAAAACTCTCAATAAATTCTGTATTGATGGAACGTATCTCCAAATAATAAGAGCTATCTATGACAAACCCACAGCCAATATCATACTGAATGGGCAAAAACTGGAAGCATTCCCTTTGAAAACTGGCACAAGACAGGGATGCCCTCTCTCACCAGTCCTATTCAACATAGTGTTGGAAGTTCTGGCCAGGGCAATCAGGCAGGAGAAGGAAATAAAGGGTATTCAATTAGAAAAAGAGGAAGTCAAATTGTCCCTCTTTGTAGATGACATGATTGTATATTTAGAAAACCCCATCATCTCAGCCCAAAATTGCCTTAAGCTGATAAGCAACTTCAGCAAAGTCTCAGGATACAAAATTAATGTGCAAAACTCACAAGCATTCCTATGCACCAATAACAGACAAACAGAGAGCCAAATTATGAGTGAACTCCCAATCACAATTGCTTCAAACAGAATAAAATACATAGGAATCCAACTTACAAGGATGTGAAAGACCTCTTCAAGGAGAACTACAAACCACTGTTCAGCAAAATAAACGAGGACACAAACAAATGGAAGAACATTCCATGCTCATGGATAGGAAGAATCAATATTGTGAAAATATTTATACTGCCCAAGGTAATTTATAGATCCAGTGTCATCTCCATCAAGCTACCAATGACTTTCTTCACAGAATTGGAAAAAAACTACTTTAAAGTCCATCCGGTGTCAAAAAAGAGCCTAGATAGCCAAGACAATCCTAAGCAAAAAGAACAAAGCTGGAGGCATCATGCTACCTGACTTCAATCTATACTAAAAGTCTACAGTTACCAAAACACCATGGTACTGGTACCAAACCAGATATATAGACCAAATGGAACAGAACAGAGGCCTCTGAAATAACACTATACATCTACAACCATCTGATCTTTGACAAACCCTACAAAAACAAGAAATGGGAAAGGATTCCCTCTTTAATAAATGATGCTGGGAAAACTGGCTAGCCATATGTAGAAAGCTGAAACTGGACCCCTTCCTTACACCTTATACAAAAATTAATTCAAGATGGATTAAAGACTTAAATGTTAGACCTAAAACCATTAAAACCCTAGAAGAAAACTTAGGCAATAACATTCAGGACATAGGCATGGGCAAGAACTTCATGACTAAAACACCGAAAGCAATGGCAACAAAAGCCACAATTGACAAATAAGATCTAATTAAACTAAAGAGCTTCTGCATGGCAAAAGAAACTACCATCAGAGTGAGCAGGCCACCTACAGAATGGGAGAAAATTTTTGCAATATACCCATCTGACAAAGGGCTAATATCCAGAATCTACAAAGAACTTAAATAAATTTACGAGAAAAAAACAAACAACACCATCAAAAAATGGGCAAAGGATATGAACAGACACTTCTCAAAAGAATACTTTATTGCAGCCAACAGACACATGAAAAAATGCTCATCATCACAGGTCATCGAGAAATGCAAATCAAAATCAAAATGAGATATGATCTCATGCCAGTTAGAATAGTGATCATTAAAAAGTCAGGAAACAACAGATACTGGAGAGGATGTGGAGAAATAGGAACAGGGAGGGAGTGTAAATTAGTTCAACCATTGTATAAGACAGTGTGGCAATTCCTCAAGGATCTAAAACTAGAAATACCATTTGGCCCACTGATCCCAATACTGGGTATATATGCAAAGGATTATAAATTATGCCACTATAAAGACACATGCACATGTATATTTATTGCGGCACTATTCACAATAGCAAAGACTTGGAACCAACCCAAATGTCCACCAATGATAGACTGGATTAAGAAAATGTGGCACATATACACCATGGAATACTATGCAGACTTAAAAAAGGATGAGTTCATGTCCTTTGTAGGGACATGGATGAAGTCGGAAACCATCATTCTCAGCGAACTATCACAAGGACGGAAAACCAAACACCACATGTTCTCACTAATAGGTGGGAATTGAACAATGGCACAGGGTGGAGAACATCACACACTTGTGTCTGTCGGGAGGTGGGCACTAGTAGAGGGACAGCATTAGGTGAAATACGTAACGTAAATGATTAGTTGATGCATGCAGCAAACCAACGTGGCACATGTATACCTACATAACAAATCTTCACGTTGTGCACATGTACCCTAGAACTTAAAGTAAACATATAATATATATAAACATCAAAATATGTATATAAAATATATATATATATAACATATATATAAAAACATCAAAAACTGGCCAAAGGATTTGAACAGACACTTCTCAAAAGAAGACATTTATGTGGCCAAGAAACAAATAAAAAAAAAAGCTCATCATCACTCGCCATTAGAGAAATGCAAATAAAACCACAATGAGATATGATCTCATGCCAGTTACAATGGTTGGTGATCATTAAAAAGTCAGGAAACAACACATAGGAATGCTTTTACACTGTTGGGAAAGAGTAAATTAGTTCAGCCACTGTGGAAGACTGTGTGGCGATTCCTCAAGGATCTAGAATCTGAAATACCATTTGATCCAGCAATCCCATTACTGGGTATACAGCCAAAGAACTGTAAATCCTTGTACTATAAACAAACATGCACATGTATGTTGATTCATAATAACAAAGACTTGTAACTAACCCAAATGCCCTTTATGATAGACTGGTTAAAGAAATTGTAGTACATATACACCATGGAATACTATGCAGCCATAAAAAAGGATGAGTTCATGTCCTTTACAGTGACATGGATGCAGCTGGAAACCATCGTTATCAGCAAACTCACACAGGAACAGAAAACCAAATACCACATGTTATTGCTCTTAAGTGGGAGTTGAGCAATAAGAACACATGGACACGGTGGGGGAACATCAGACCCTGGGGCCTGTTGGAACTTGGGGGCATAGGGGAGGGATCCATTAAGAGAAATACCTAATGTAGATGATGGGTTGATGGGTGCAGCAAACCACCATGTCACTTATATACCTATGTAACAAACCTGCACATTCTGCACATGTATCCCAGCACTTAAAGTATAATTTAAAAAAAAATGAATTTTTGTGCCAAAAAAAAGGGGGGGACTAAACAAAATAAAGTGAAGGCCCTTGTTTTGTACTAGATATAGTCCAATTTAAGTGGCTTTACTTAAGTTAGACTTTCTAGCGGGGTCTGTGGTGGTCTAGTCTTTTAAGTAGAAAATGTGAAAGAGTGTTTTAAATGTAGGCACAGTCCAATATTTTCTTATCACTCACCCCGAGCCCTTTCATCTTATCAAGAATACCTAAGGATGTTTCACTTGTGTAGACTGAACTTACCCATTGAGGCTTCTCTTGAGATTACAAGCTTTTTTAGTGATACATCACTAACACATATACATATATATATATAACATAGATACATAAATATAATGCTATCCCAATAACAATTCCTTTTGACTTAAAAAGACAATCAAAATCCAAACATATGCAATGCTACTTTTAAAATTTATTAAAATTGTATGTATTTATAATGCCAACATGATATTTTCATGTATGTACATATTATGGAATGGTTAAGTCAGGCTCATGACATTTGCATCACTTCACATGCTTATCATTTTCAGGGGAGAGAACCCTTAAGTCTACTTTCTCAGCAATTTTCAAATATATAATACGTTGTTGTTATCTACAGTCACCGTAAGGTGCAAAAAATCTCTTGAATTTATTCTTCCTATTTAACTGAAACTTTGTTCCATTTGAGGAACAATCCCCAGTTCCCACTTCTCCTTCCAGCCCCTGGTAATCACCATTATATTTTCTCCTTCTGATGCAGGTCAGGTGAGCCCCCAAACAGGCTTAGCTTGGGATAGTTCTTGGCTTCTCCCAGGAAGTAATTCAAGGGCAAGCTGATGGTGTTAACACCTTTTTAAAATTATTGTTATTATTTCAATAGTTTTGGGGAAACAGATGGTGTTTGGTTACATGTATAAGTTCTTCAGATGTGATTTCTGAGATTTCAATGTACCCATCACTTGAGCAGTGTACACTGCACCCAGTGTGTCATCTTTTATACCTCACCTTTTTCCTCCTCATTCCTGCCAAGCCCAAGAGTCCATTGTGTCATTCTTAAGTCTTTGTGTCCACATATATTATCTCCCACTTATAAGTGAATGTTTGGTTTTGCATTCCTGAGTTACTTCATTTAGAATAATGTTTTCTAACTCCATCTAGTTTGCTGCAAATGCTATTATTTCATTCATTTTTATGACTGAGTAGTATTCCATGGTAAATATATATACCACGTATTCATTAGTTATATACCACATATTCATTGGTTAATGGCACTTAGGCTTGTTCTATATTTTTGTGATTGTGAATTGTGGTGCTATAAACATGCATGCACAAGGGTCTTTTTCATATAATAACCTCTTTTCCTCTGGGTAGATACCAAGTACTGGGATTGATGAATCAAATATAGTTCTACAATTAGTTCTTTAAGGAATCTCCATACAATCTTCCATAGTGGTTGCACTATTTTACATTCCCACCAGCATTGTAAAACTGTTTCCTTCTCACTACATCCATGCTGACATCTATTTTTTTTAATTTTTAAATTATGGCCATTCTTGCAGGAGTAAGGTGGTATGGCATTATGGTTTTGATTTGCATTACCATGATAATTAGTGATGTTGAACATTTTTTCATATGTATGTTGCTCATTTGTGTATCTTCTTTTGAGAATTGTCTATTCATGTCCTTAGCCCACTTTTGGATGAAATTTTTTTCTTGCAACTTGTTTGTGTTCCTTGTAGATTTTGAATGTTAGTCCTTTCTTGGATGCATATTTTGCAAAGATTTTCTCCCACTGTGTGAGTTGTCTGTTTACTCTGCTGATTATTTTTTTCTGTAAAAAAGCTTTTTAGTCTAACTAAGTCCTATCTATTTATCATTGTTTTTGTTCCATTTGCTTTTGGATTCTTGGTCATAAACTCTTTGCCTAAGCCGATGTCTAAAAGAGTTTTTCCAATGTTATCTTCTAGAATTTTTCTAATTTCAGGTCTCAGATTTAAGTATTTGGTTCATCTTGAGTTGATTTTTGTGTAAGGTGAGAAATGAGGATTCAGTTTCTTTCTTCTACATGTGGCTTGCCAATTATTTCAGCACCACTTGTTGAATAGACTGTACTTATCCTATTTTTATGTTTTTGTTTGCTTTGTTGATCATCATTTAGCCATAAGTGTTTGGCTTTATTTCTGAGTTCTGCATTCTGTTCCATTGGCCTGCTTGCCTGTTTTTATATCAATACCATACTGTTTTGGTAACTATAGCCTTGTAGTATTGTTTGAAGTTGGGTAATGTGATGCCTCCAGATTTGTTCTTTGTGCTTAGTCTTGTTTTGGCTATGAGGGTTTTTTCTTTGTTCTATATGAATTTTAGGATTGTTTTTTCTAATTCTGGGAAGAATGATGATGCATTTTGATGGGAATTACATTGAATTTCTAGTTTGCTTTTGGCAGTATGGTCATTTTCACAATATTAATTCTATTCATCCATGAGTATGGGATGTATTTCCATTTGTTTGTATTGTCTGTGATTTGTTTCAGTAATGTTTCATAGTTTTCCTTGTAAATATTTTTTACCTCTTTTGTTAGGTATATTCCTAAGTATTTTAATTTTTTGCAGCTATTCTAAAAGGGGTTGAGTTCTTGATTTGATTATCAGCTCATCGTTGCTGGTGCATGGCAGTGCTACTGGTTTGTATACATTATATCTGAAACTTTCCTGAATCCATTTATTAGATCAAGGAGTCTTTTGGATGAGTCTTTAGGGTTTTCTAGGTATACAATTCATGTCACTGATGCACAGTGACAGTCTGACTTCCTCTTTATTGATCTGGATGTCCTTTATTTCTTTCTGTTGTCTGATTGTTCTGGTTAGGACTGTGTTGAAGAGGAGTGACAAAAGTGGGGCATCCTTGTCTTGCTACAATTCTCAGGGAAAATGCTTTCACCTTTTCCCCATTCAGTATAATGTTGGCTATGGGTTTGTCATAGATGGCTTTTATTACCTTAACGTATGTCCTTTATGTCTATTTTGCTCAGGGTTTTAATCATAAAGGGATGTTGTATTATGTCAAATGCCTTTTCTATGTCTATTAAGATGATAATGTGATTCTTGTTTTTAATCTTTTTTATGTGTTGTGACACATTTACTGACTTTTGTATGTTAAACAAACACTGTATCCTTGGTATAAAACCCACTTGATCATGGTGTACTATCTTTTTCATATGCTTTTAGATTTGGCTGGCTCATATTTTCTTGATGATTTTTGCATTTATGTTCATCAGGGATACTGGCATGTAGATTTCTTTTTTTGGTTATATCTTTTCCTGGTTTTGGCATTAGGATAATACTGGCTTCATAGAATAATTTATGGAGAATTCCCTGTTTCTCGATCTTTTGGAATAGTTTCAGTAAGATTGGTATCAATGTTTTTTCAATGTCTAATAGAATTCAGCTGTGAATCCAACTGGACCTGGACTGTTTTTTGTGGGCAATTTTAAAATTACTTTTTCAATCTCACACTTCTTATTAGTCTGTTCAGAGTTTCTATGGTTTAATCTTGGAGAATTATGTGTTTCCAGGAATTTATCCATCTTCTCTAGGTTTTCTAGTTTGTAGATGTAAAGGTGTACATAAAAGCATTAAACAATCTTATGGGCCAGGCATGGTGGCTCACACCTGTAATCCCAACAGTTTGGGAGGCCAAGGCGGGTGGATCATGAGGTCAGGAGATCTAGATCATCCTGGCTAACACAGTGAAACCCCGTCTCTACTAAAAACACAAAAAATTAGCTGGGCGTGGTCGTGGGCACCTGTAGTCCCAACTACTCAGGAGGCTGAGGCAGGAGAATAGTGTGAACTTAGGAGGCAGAGCTTGCAGTGAGCTGAAGTCGTGCCACTGCACTCCAGCCTGGGTGACAGAGTGAGACTCTGTCTCAAAAAAAAAAAAAAGATCTTATGTATTTCTGTGTTGGTTGTAATATCTTCTGTTTTGTTTTTAATTGAAATTATTTGGATCTTATATCTTCTTGGTTAATCTCACTAGTGGTCTATCAATTTTGCTTATGTTTTCAAATAACCAACTTTTTGTTTTATTTATGTTTTGCATTTTGTTTGCTTCTTTGTTTCAATTTTAATCTGCTCTGATCTTGGTTATTTCCTTTATTCTGCTGGATTTTGGTTCTTTTTTTCTCTAGAACCTGTTCCTCTAGTTCTTTGAGGTTTGATCTTAGATTGTCTATTTATGCGCTTTCAGACACAGAATCATTTAGGACTATGAAGTTTTCTCTTAGCTCTGCTTTTGCTGTATTTCAGAGATTTTGAGAGTTTGTGTCACTATTATCATTCTATTAAAATAATTTTTTAATTTATATTTCCATTTCATCCTTGAGCCAAGGATCACTTAAGAGCAGACTATTTAATTTAACTTATTTAATTTCCATGTATTTGCATAGTTTTTGCACTTTGGAAGTGAGTTCCAATTTTATTCTACTGTGGTCTGAGAGAGTACTTGATATAATTTAGATTTCATTTTCTTAAATTTATTGAGACGTATTTTGCAGCCTATCATATGGTCTATCTTGGAGAATGTTCCATGTGCTGATCAACAGAATCTATATTGTGCAGTTGTTGGGTAGTATGTTCTGTAAATATCTGTTAAGTCCATTTGTTCTAGGATATAGTTTAAGTCCATTGTTTCTTTGTTGACTTTTCTATATTTATGACCTGTCTAGTGCTGTCAGTGAAGTATTAAAATTTCTTATATTATTATATTGCCATCAGTCTCATTTCCTAGGTGTGCTGGTAATTGTTTTATAAATATGTGAGCTCCAGTGTTAGGTGCACATATATTTAGGATTTTAACATTTTTCTACTGGACAAGTTCTTTTATCATTATATAATGTCTCCCTTTGTCTTTTTAAACTTCTATTGCTTTAAAGTTTGTTTTGTCTGGTTAAGAATAGCTACTCCTTCTTGCTTTGGTGTCTATTTACATGGAATTATCTTTTTCCCTCACATTACCTTAAGTTTATATGAGTCATTATGTGTTAGGTGAGTCTCTGGAAGACAACAGTTACATGTTTTGTTGGTGAATTTTTATTTATTCTGTCACATTAGCATTGAGATGTGAAATCCTATTCTATTGATTGTGCTATTTGTTGCCCAAATACCTTGTTTTTTTTTTATTGTTATTGTTTTATAGGCCCTGTGAGATTTATCCTTTATGGATGTTCTATTTTGTTGTATTTCAAGGATTTGTTTCAAGATTTATAATTCTTTCTAGCAGTTCTTGTAGGGCTGGCTTGGCAGTGGTGGTGACTTCTCTCAGCACTTGTTTGTCTGAAAAGGACTGTATCTTTCCTTTATTTATGAAGCTTAGTTTCACTGGATATAAAATTCTTGGCTGGTAATTATTTTATTTAAGGAGGCTGAAGATTGGGCCCTAATCCCTTCTAGGTTATAGGATTTCTGCTGAGAAATTTGCTCTTTCTCTTTTAGGTTACCTGATGCTTTTGCCTCACAGCTTTCCTCATCTAATGCTCTTGTCCTTCTTTTTTTTTTTTTTTTTTTTGACTATGTGCCTAGATAATGATCTTTTTGCAGTTAATTTCCCAGGTGTTCTTTTAGCTACTTGTATTTGGATGTCTGTGTCTCTAGCAAGGCCAAGGAAGTTTTCCTCAATTATTTCCCTGAATATGTTTTCCAAACTTTTAGATTTCTCTTCTTCCTCAGGAACACCAGTTGTTCTTAGGTTTAGGCATTTGACATAATCCCAGACTTCTTGGAGGATTTATTCATATTTTCTTATTCTTTTTAGTCTTTGTTGGAGTCTTTGTTTATTTTTTTAAAATGCTTTTTATCTTTGATTTTGTCAGGTTGGGTTAATTTGGAAGCCTTGCATTCAACCTCTTAAGTTCTTTCTTCTACTTATTTGATTCTGTTGCTGAGACTTTCAAGTGCATTTTGCAGTTTCTTAAATGTGTCCTTCTTTCCAGAAGTTGTGATTATTTTATATTTATGCTATGTATTTCGCTGAAGATTTTTCCCTTCATATATTGTATCTTTGTTTATTTCATTAAGTTGAACTTCACCTTTCTCTGGTGCCTCCTTGATTAGCTTAATAATCGACCTTCTGAATTCTTTTTCTGGCAATTCAGAGATTTCTTCTTGGTTTGGATTCATTGCTGGTGAGCTATTTGTGCTGTTAAAAATCTTTGTTTTGTCATATTACCAGAATTGCTTTTTTTTATTTCTTCTCACTTGGGTAAACTATGACAGAGGGAAAATTTGGGTCTTAAATGCTTTTGTTCAAATTCTTTTGTCCCACATGGTGATCCCTTGATGTTGTGCTCTTCCTTTTCCCCTAGGGATGTGGCTTTCTGAGAGCCTTCAGTGATTGTTATGTCTTTTCCATTGTCTAACCACCCTATGAAGCTACCAGGCTCTGGGCTGATACTGGGAATGTCTGCACAGAGTCCTGTGATGTGAACTGTCTTCAGATGTCTCAGGTGTGGATACCAGCACTTGCTCTGGTTGAATTGGCAGGGGAGTGAAGTGGACTTTTTGTGGGTCCTTGGTTATAGTTACGTTTATTAGGCTAGGTTTGTGTTGGTTGGTCTCCCACCAGGAGATGGCACTTTCAAGACAGCATTAGCTGCAGTAGTAGAGGGAGGATCAGGTGGCAGGTGGGGCCAAAAAGCTTGCAAGACATTGTGTCTTCCACTGCCAAGGTGCGTCTTCAGCTACCAGGGTGAGTAAAGAAAGACCATCCAGTGGGGACGGGGTTTTTCTGACCTTAGACTCTCCTTAGTCAGGGTTTGCCATGGCTGCTATGGGAAATGGAGTTTTGTTCTCAAGCCAATGGATTATGTTCCCAGGAATATCATGGCTGCCTCTGCTGTCATGCAGGTTGTCAGGAAAGTGAAGGAAAGCTGGCAGTTACAGGATTCGTAAAGATCACATGCAGCCCAAAAAGCCAGTCTCACTCAATTGTACACCCGCCTGTAGCAGTACTGAGTTTATTTCCAGGCAGTGGGTAAGCAGGCCTAAGAATTTGCCCCAGGCTACCAGCCTACCACCAGCTGAGAAAGCTAGGAGTTCTTTCAGGCATGGGGACTATATGGACAAACTATGAGGCCAAACTATTAGGGGCTTTTATTGGCTTTGCAAGTTAAAAGCTTCTTGGCTTCTTAAAGGGAAACACATCCTTCCATTCAAAGCCTTGGTGAAACAATGAGTTTTTTCAGTTGTGTCTTGTTGGAAAAGAAAATGGATTCCTTTTGTACTTTGTGAGATTAAAACAAACTCACTTAAAACTTTAAATATTCCTTTGTTATAGCTAGTTCTACATGAAAGTATTGGGTCAATTTGTCCTTGTAGTCAAAATTAATCACAAATGAAATTCAAGTGTGGGCAGCATAGGCCCCATTTTCTCCCATCTCAGAGGCATCTGTCTTCCTGTCCAAATCCCATGCAGTTCTGCTTCATGCGGCTTGCACCAGATTGTATCATCTTACTTTCCCCCAGCTTCAATTTCTACACACTAAGTCATCTCATCATGTCAAAAGGCTTCCTTGAGCAAACATCTTCCAAAAGCCATCTCTCTTTTACACCTAAATCTCTCATAAGAATAGTTTACACTCAAAGCTCATTCACATACTCATCTCTCTACTCCTGAACTCTGCCATCTGGCTTTCAGCCATCACTCTTTTTTTGAGACCTTTTTACAAGGTTATAGGAGACATTCTTGCAAATTCAGGAGAGTGAGTCCTTATTGCATGTTACCTTTGCAGCCTTTCAATTGAGCTGTGGGAAAACAGCCCTGTGCTAGACATGATGCTGGGTGGAAAATGTTGTACTTTCATTCCCAACAATACTGACCCAGGTGGGACCATCACGAAAGCTTTATAAGGACAAACAACTTTAGCTAATGAACTGGCAGAAAATGCTGGCATTAATGACCTGCTTACAGATTGGCTAGAAGGTTGGTTTGGAAAGTGGAAAGGCATGGTAGCTTCAATCTTTACATCTTATAGTTGTGGCAGAAGTCTTAAAAGCAGTGGGATGTTGTATTATCCCTTGTATGAAGGTACTAGCACAGAGATTAATTGAAACAGCTATTTAAAAAAATGCCCATAACTTATGAACAAAATAACCCACTACTACTAGAAACCAAATTAAACTCACTCTCTTAGGAGGAGGAAAGTAAATGACTTCTAGAGCAATTTAAGAACCAAAAGGGTTTAACTAAAAATAAGACCAAAGGAAGTAAATAGAAAAGAGGGAATTTGTGAAAAAACATTTTAAATGGTCCTTTTTCAAGGCATGATAAATCTAACTACTGGCCGCCAGCCTGCAAATGTAACAAACTGCATGGCTCATGCACCTAGAAGTTTATAATAAGCAAACAAAATGTAGAGGACGGATCAGGCCATAAAAGGGAAGAAAATTTTGTTATTGGGAAATCAAAACATAAGTGGGCAAGGGGACTGGGTTATAACCTGACAAGGGGGGTAATAAAATTTATGCAACATCTGGGAAAATTTTAACCCAACCAGGGAGGAACTATTATATACCAGGAGATAAATTACCTGTCATGACTGTCCCAGGTGTGCCTGCCCACCAGACACCCAGTCTTGCAAAATCATTATTAAAAAGTCTTATTTTTGCTGTTCTTTGTGCCTCTAGGTCCACTTTTTGGGTTTGGATGGGTGAGTATGTTTCTCACAGAAATTGAAAGCAAAGATCACTTAGTGTAAACTGACTGTGCAGCCTCTCAGATATTGAGCATCTCCTGGAGAAAATACAATCCTCTTTAGTCCTGAAGGAAACATCACACAAGATACGGTTTCTTCAAAATTGTATGGGATATTTAAATATCAAATATCAATATCAAAGTTTTCTTCTTTTCACTGTGAAGACAAACTGATGGTCATAAATAGTCACCATTTTATCCACAAAATGGTAATTTGTGAGTGTGCCTACCAGCCATTCTATAGTTTGTCATAGTTCTCTTTGACTATGGGGATCTAGCAGAGGATTGCAGTTCATTTAATTTGTGTTTACTACTTTTTCTATGGGCCGGACTCATGCGTCTATTAATGGTAGTAGGCAGCATAGTACCCCAATTTATGTTGAATGGCGTGGAGTGGAAAGATGTGTTCTGTATGCTAGCAAGTGTTGTTTTCCCATCTACCTTCCACAGTGAGAATGCCATGGACATTTTAGTTCCTGTTCTACATTTTTATCATCGCCTAATTGATTGGAATGATATTTCTATATAATAATGACTTTGAACACATATAAGCATTCTCAGGAAACATGAACTGCAGTGGTTGTTCTACCACAGTTCAAGGGAAAGATGATTATGGTTGCCTTGGCAACCATAGCTCTGCACTGTCTATTTTTTACTGTTTTCCTATTTGAGAATCCTTTTGAGGAAAAACAAAAGAAAGAATATCAGTAAAGTCTCATTTTCAATTTATGAAGCTTCTGGGAATGATACAGTCTTATGTAGCTACAAAAACATCTCCAGTTCCTAATATTTCCCCAAACATTGGAAAGTCCAGGCATATGAAATGAACTAAAAATAGGCTTTTACTTATGTCAAAACACAAACATCATCTTTATTCCCTATAGAGGTAATTATTTTGAAAGAACTGAAAGGAAAGTTTACTTTTCTGTTTCTCTGTAGCATACAGCTGTGACTTCTATTTTTCTAGAAAAAGGGAAAGGTTTTTGCCTATAAACTTCCATTAGTATTTTTACCTGTAATGGAGTTATTCAATTGCAAATAGGTATACAAATAAAATAGTCCTACTCTAGGAAATGGCTAGTTGAGAGACTGTGAAACAGTGATGTTGTAACAATGTGTTGAATTATTTATTGCCAACATATCCTCTTTACATTTCCTTTGTGGATGACTAGGTTTTTTTTTTTGTTTTTTTTTTTTGTTTGTTTGTTTTTGTTTTTGTTTTTTTGAGATGGAGTCTGGCTCTATCACCCAGGCTGGAGTGCAATGGCATGATCTCGGCTCACTGCAAGCTCTGCCTCCAGGGTTCACACCATTTTCCTGCCTCAGCCTCCTGAGTAGCTGGGACTAGAGGGGCCCGCTCTCACGCCCTGCTATTTTTTTTTTTTTTTTTTTTTTTTGGTATTTTTAGTAGAGACGGTGTTTCACCGTGTTAGCCAGGATGGTCTCGATCTCCTGACCTCGTGATCCACTGGCCTCGGCCTCCCAAAGTTCTGGGATTACAGGCATGAGCCACCACACCCGGCCAGACCACTAGTTTCTTTTAAAAGAGAAAAGGTGATAATATTTGGGTCTTTATAATTGTTTTTCTGTATTAAAGCAAAAATGTAGTATAAATGTATAGTACTGCATGACTAGAAAACTAGAAAAAGTAATTGAGAAACACTATATTTTATTTTCTCCAGTCACTTGTTACTCTTTCTTCCCCTCCCTCTTCTTTCTTTTTCTTTCTTTCTTTCTTCTCTTTCTTTCTTTCTTTTCTTTCTTTCTCTTTCTTTCTTTCTCTTTCTTTCTTTCTTTCTTCCTTCCTTCCTTCTTTTTTCTTTCCTTCCTTCCTTCCTTTTTTCTTTCTTTCTTTCTTTTCTTTTCTTTTCTTTCTTCTCTCCTCCCTCCCTCCCTGCCTCCCTCCTTCTCTCCCTCCTTCCCTCCCTCCCTTCCTCCCATCCTCCCTTCCCTTTTCTCACTTCCCTCCTTCCTTCCTTTCTTCCTGCCTCCCTCCCTGCCTCCCTTCTTTCATAACTTTTTTGTAGCCAGCCAGATGGTAAGCGTTTCCAGCTTTTGAGGCTATCCAGATTTTGTCTCAACTACTCACCTCTGATGTTATAAGAAAGAAGCCATAGATAACATGCAAATGAATGGACTGGGCTGTGTTAAATTAATACTTCATTTACAGAAGCAGCCAGTGGACCACATTTGGCCCATGGGCTATAGATTTCCAACTCGTACTCTAAGAGAAAAATTGTTTTGCTTACTTACCTTTCCACACCCCACATGGAAGTGTAGTGCTTCAGGCAAATGCTTTTTTAAAAATTTATGCCTAAACTGCGCATGGGGTTGCTTGCCTGTAATCCTAGGTACTTGAGAGTCTGACATGGGAGGATTACTTGCATCCTACAACTTTGCATCCAGCCTTGAGAAACCCTTATCTCTTAAAAAATGTGCCTGAAAGTCCAATCTCTCACACTGCCTTTTGTGTAAAATATCCCTTTTGCTACCATATTGGTTCTATTAGAGAGAAAGGTAGGGGTTACACACTTTTGCAACTCATTAAGGAGGGTAGAAGCAGATATTGATAATAGTTTCCTTAGTTTAAAAACTGTTAGAACATATTAAAAACCATCAGCTGCTAAGATTTCCTTACTCCCTGGCTGAGTTAGAATTTCTTTTGAATATCAGAAGCCTAATGGGCTCTCCCTGCATAAGCTGGCAATACAAACTGAGGTAGACACTGTGGGAATGGAGTCCACTGGCTGCCAGCTGGCCTCCCCATCCCCATGGGGTCTCCACAGTCACCTGGCACCAAGAAGAACATGCTCTCTTCTTTATTTTCCATTGAGGTATTTTGTGGTGCCTTGTTTAAACTGATTTTAACATCCTCTTTAAGTTTTAATCAGATACTTTGAAGAAAAATATAGAAAAACAAAAACAGAAATCTATGTGTTTGTTACTCAGATTTAATAACCGTTAACATTTGTTATTACTTCAGAGATTTTTATCTTGTTTAAAAATAAAGAATACAGCTGGGCATGGTGGCTCACGCCTGTAATCCCAGCACTTTGGGAGGCTGAGGTGGGCGGGTCACCTGAGGTCAGGAATTCGAGACCAGTCTGACCAACGTGGTGAAACCCCATTTCTACTAAAAATACAAAATTAGCCGGATGTGGTGGTGGGTGCCTATAATCCCAGCTAGTCGAGAGGCTGAGGCAAGAGAATTGCTTTAACCTGGAAGGCGGAGGTTGCAGTGAGCCAAGATGATGCCATTGAACTCTAGCCTGGGCAACAAGAGTGAAACTCTGTCTAAAAATAAATAAATAAATAAATAAAAATAAGGAATACAGTTACAGACCTAACTGAAACCCAAGATTTTTCCTCATTCCAACCATTTCTGAAGAGGCTATTTCAAAATAATGTGAATTATTTCCTGCTTATTAAAATTGGTTATTGAGAGGCAGAAGAATAGAAACTATACTGATTTTATAGTATATGTTCAGAGCATCACTGTTGCATAGTATGACCGATTTGATCCAATTTGTATGGGTTTTCTGCCCATTAAAGACTGAATAATATGTTGACTCTACTCCCAAGAGAGACTTAAATAATGCATCACATCTCTTTTCTATTGGGAATCGTGCATTCATCTAATAGACAGTAAATATAAATCATTCTAATTCGTAATAAAGAGCTAGATATAGTTTTCAATTTCAGTGGCAACTTTGAAAAGTGCATTATTATTTTTCTGCTACCTCTAACAGAGTTATTATCTTATGGTGCAAATGCTTTCATAAATGCTCTCTCATCTCAACCTGTATAGTGGTTAGAAAAGACCGTGTTACAGCCCTCTCCAAGGTAAGGGCATCAATGCACTGGGACATTGTATAGTGCTTGGCAGTCATGGCGGGACTTTAATACCACCTACCAAGCTTTGCAAAGGTGAGAATCCTCATCCTATCCACAGAGATGTAATCCAACTAGGGTCAGGAAAGGCTTCCCTGAGCATTAAAGAATGAGAACATAGGAGAGGATATCAGGTTAAGGAAAGAACATGGATAAAAGGCAGTGTGGTAGGAGACCAGAGATTTTGGTTCTCAGATGCACTGTGATTCCAATTTAGAAGTCTATATGGGCATCCCAGTAGCATCTCAAGCACTTTAGGCAATTCACATTCCTTCAGCAAATGTTTATGGAGAACCTGGAGTGTGCCTGAGATTCTTTCAGGTATTGGGAATTCAGCAATTAATGTGCAAAAGTTCTTTCCCTCCTGAAGCTTGTTTCTGGTAGGGCTGATTCAGGAAGTTCACAAATTTCAGGCACATCTTGAGAAGGACTGACTAAGAGCTGTTGGCCTGGAACAGAGCCATGAGGAGTGCCTGCATTTACAGCTCTAAAGGGGCAGAAGCAGTAGAAAAGAACCTAGAGCAAGTGGCTAATGAAGGAAAAAGAGGAAAGGGGTGCATATAGCAAAAGCTAGGGGAGGAAACTGATTCCAGTTGGCAAAGTGAATGAATGGCAAGGTGTAGTGGTGCTGAGGGGTCAGGTAGAATAAAAACAGAACAGTCCCCCTTCAGCTTTACAACAAGGTGCATTCAGAATTTTTCCCAAACCAGTTTTATATGAATAATGGAAGTAGAAATCAGATTGAGTTGCTTTAGAGTGTCTGGGAAGTGAAAAATGGGAATGTGAGAAGATGTTGGCAATTAGGAAATGAGAAATTGCGATGACTCCAGAGAAATTTGCCCTCAGTTCGGGACTTCATTATATCCCTGCAGGAAAGAGTCTTCTGGTAGTGGTGAGATTAATTAACTTATTTTTGCTTAACTTTTCCATCTAAAAGGATGCATTTTAAGCTTGCTGAAAATGAATTTAGGATAGTTTTTGCATGCAGTGGATACTCACTGAAAATAAGGGCTTTCTCTTATAGGGTTTTAGTTTACCAATCTCACTCTGCCTGACACAATATTTTCAGTAATCATCTTATTAAATAGCAAGTAAGATTAGAAATTTATTATTAACTGAAGTACAAGGCAGGAAATAGGATAGGTTAAGCAAATTGCCCTAATCATGCTGCTTATAACTTATGGCCCCCAGAGAATTTGAATGCATATTTGCTATGGTTTGGCTATGGTTTGTTTGTCCTCATCAAATCTCACATTAACATTTGATCCGTAGCATGGTGGTGTTGGAGATGTGGCATAGTGAGCGGTTTTGGGGACAGATCCTTCATGAATGACTTGCTACCTTTCTTATGACAATGAGGGCATTATTGGTCTCCTGAGACTAGCCTGTTTCTCGTTGAATTGATTAATTCCTGCAAGAGTGGGTTGCTAGAACAGGACACCCCTGGGTTTCGTACGTGTTTGCATGTGTTTGTTTCCCCTTTGACTTCTCAGCTGTATTTTAATGCAGCACAAAAGCCTTTGCTGGAAGCTGAGCAGATGGTAGTGCCCTGCATCTTTAAAGCCAGCAGAACTTTGAGCCAAAATAAACCTGATATTTATAAACTACCCAACCTTAGCTATTCCTTTACAGCAACACAGAGTGGACTAAGACAACATCTTTTAACTTGGTTTTATGCTGTTTGCTCCACTTGATCTTGGAATTGTATTCCCCTATAAGAATTGTACCTGCTTAAGTAGAGACTGAGTATTCATCTACTTTGTATCCCCTTACCACTATTGTATTTAGCCCAGCTCCTGGCACAGGCAGTTTTCAATTGTGAGTGGCACTGAAATTAAATTTCTTAGCCCTTGGCCCAACATTCTTGGGCTGCTTTTGTTTCTGAAGCCCCAGTTTATATTCAGGAGAAATGCTTTGGACTTAAGACCCTCAAACTAATTTATGTACACATATCATCTGTGGAGGAAGTGGGACACAGTGAAAGGTAGAGACAGATCTTGAACATGACAGTAGAAATGATATGTTAGTGGAAAATTAATATGTGCATATTTTATTTTACTGAAGAATAAATAATCTAACATAAGGAAGTGAATAAAACTGACTGATCATTGATTGGTAGGTATCTTTATATATACATATAATATATAATGTGATATACCAGTAAAAATGCATATATATGTTGTATATAATGTAATTGTATATTATATTGAATATGATATTTAATATACATCTGTATATCTATAGATACCCACTCTAGTGCACTTTTTTCCTCCAAAATAAAATACTTGCAACATCAGGGAGTACTAAGTAGGAATATTCCCAAGAGGGTCAGAGATTGAGATGCAATCTCAGAACCCATTAAATATCCTGAAGATAGTTGGGCTGTAGGAGTCCTGTGGAAAACTTGAAAGCTGTCCATCACTTCTTGAAAGAAAGGGGTGTGAGGGATGAAGTAGACTGACCAGTGTACATCTCCCTGGGATCTTATTTACTCACTCTTAGGAATTACCTAGGACAAGCATGTATGGAATGTCCCAGAATCATGTTTGGTTGCATTATTTCCCTGCCGTGGCAAAAGTGGCCTACAGAAGCTGTACATTCTGGGTCATTGCTAGAACCCAAATGAGTGTTGCTTGGGAACTGGAGAAGGAAAATGGAAACAGAGCGCTCCCAAGTTCTTTCCCCAATCTCTTGGTTTGAAACATCTTAAACTGTCATTTTCCTATGTCCAAGATGGGCAAATATTAACCATTTCATGCAGCTCAATCAAAAAGTATGATCCAGCTACTACAGACATGTTGACATTAGTAGGCCTTCTTGTTAAAGCTTGGTAAATTGGTGGATGCTTGGGCTTGAATATTAAGACCTCTTGATTTTGTGAGCCAGAGTGAAGGCATTCTTTTTCCTGCCTATATTTTAATAGCATCTTGGGTGAGAGAGGGCCAGCATCATCTGTTTATCATGCTTTGTGCTCAGTGACTTTGTGAAAAGAATGAAAAAGAACTTTAAAGTTGGGGTGATTGTCTAGACAGTTCTAAAATAGCTGCTCCAGGTGAAAAGAAACCATCAAATGCAGACAAACCAAGAAGCTCCTTTGGCAAGACACAGCGTTTGAATTCTCATAGGTTCTCTGTAAATTATGAAGTAGAAAATAATCAGGAGCCTAAATTCCAGTAATTATAATTATTAGTTATTTTAAATTACCACCACTTGCTTCACACAGAGGCATTCTCTGTGTGATAAATTATATTTAAAATATTGTTTAAATAATTATTTGGATAATTTGAGCTGAAATAGTCCAGGCTGAACTATTTAGCTGGCTGAAACACCTGTGCATGGTTTAATTTAAAATATACAGAAAAAAAGACTTCATTATTCACTCCACTGGGGAGGTCTTGTAATACAAAGCAAGAAGAAGACCTTCGCTGGAGCCCATGCCCCCTGGGATCCCATCAGAGCCCTCTTTCCTGGTATTGGCCTGTGCTGCCTGACTCATGATATGACATGATGACTGCACAACGATATTCAATGAAGGGCAGAGGTCCAGCTGGGCAGAGGCAACACAACCATTGAAGAGGATGCTCAAATTAAGTGCTGTTACTGTCTACACTATTCTTTGCTGATAAAGGGGTGGCTACAACATCAGCAGAAAATTATGTTCTTTATTCTTAAATAAATCCAAGTGGGATGCGGTTTGATATGGTTTGGCTGTGTCCCTACCCAAATCCCATCTTGAACTGTAATTCCCATAATCCCCAAGTGTCATGAGGGACCCAGTGGGAGGTAATTGAATTATAGGGACAGTTACCCTCATGCTGTTCTCATGATAGTGGGTGAATTCTCATGAGATCTGATGATTTTAAAAGGGACTTTTCCCGCTTTTGCTCAGCACTTCTCCTTGTTGCTGCCATGTGAAGGACATGTTTACTTCCCCTTCCACAATTATTGTGTTTCCTGAGGCTTCCCTAGCCATGTTGAACTGTGAGTCAATTAAACCTCTTTCTTTATAAATTACCCAGTGTTGGATATGTCTTTGTTACCATCATGAGAACAAACTAACACAGGGTAGATGGTCAATTCAGCATAGAATGGGATGAAAGTCTCACAGCATGAGGTTAGTTAAAAATCTTTGTGCATAAGGAAAAGAACAGCATGAAAGGGAAAAGAGAGAGCTTTCCCATTTTCCTAAATAAGACAGGAAACAGCACCTTTTATTTTCCTTCCTGCAGTGGCAGCATTTCAAAAATACCACAGCAGAATACTCTTCTGCATGCCTGGAACCCTTATGCAGAACAGTGGAACGAAACAGCAACAGTGGCAAAGAAAATGTATCTCTGCATTCTTTGATATGGCCTACCAAGGCTTTGCCAGTGGTGAAGATAACAAGGATGCCTGGGCTGTGTGCTACTTCATTGAATAGAGCATTGATGTTTGTCTCTGCCAATCACATGCCAGGCACATGGGCTTTCTGTGATCAGCATGTGGAAGCCTTCACTGTGATCTGCAAAGACAGTGGATGAACTCAAAAGGGTAGAGTCACAGTCGAAGATCCTCATGCATCGTTTGTATTCCAACCCTCCTCTCAATGGGCCCTGGATTGTCTCTACTATTCTGAACACCCTGGGTTTGTGAAAACAATGGTTGCAAGAAGTGAAAATCGCAGCTGACTGCATTATTAGCATGCGGACTCAGCTAGTCTTCAACCTGAATAAGGAAGATTCCTTACACATCTGGCAACAGATGACTGACCAAATTTTTTATTTATTAACTCCAGGGGAGTCAAGGAGAAAGTTCCCCTTTGACTTTCATGAAGGGTCCCTGAAAAACCACTGGCATGACACAGATTGATCAGCAGGAGAAAAGGCATACACATTTATTTAGCTAGTGTACACTTCAGAATGAAGACCTAATTACAGGGGAAATTGTCCATTTTTATGCTTAAGTTCAACAATGTTTGGACAGCTGTGTAGTAATGTGATTGGGAAAAAAGGTCTGATTTAAATGCTAATGAACTGAGTGGAGAAACCCAGCAAGGCCCATCTGTCTAGATTCTTCTTGGCCTCTCTGAGAAACATTACTTCCTTCTAGGTGTGAAAGAGGACCCTGTCTGGAAGAGGAGTCTTAGGATCCACAGTCAAGCAAGATGGATCAGATCATTTCTTCATGGCCGGTTTTTATGTAGAATATTTTTAGGTTTTATGACTGACATTTGGGAAAAAAGGTTCTGATTTGTATGACCTATCTTGGGGAAAAGGGATTCTAGTTTCTATTTCTAGCCTCAGGGCAAAATAGAGTGAGAGCTGACATACAGGAGGACAGGAGAAGACCAGAGAGAAACTTTTGCTTCTAAAACTACTCAGCAGTATGTCTTCATTTTGAGGTAACTTTTTCTGAGTCCCAACAAAACTCTACCAGGCTGAACATGGACCAGGCATTATTCTAACTCCGAGAGAACAGAGACGAAGAAGAGAGGGATCCTGCAGTTTTCTTTTTGGGTGTCAAGATGGCGACACCATTTACTGAATGACTCCAAGTGATGAGCTAAATCTATTCTCTTGATTTTGACTCTGCTGCTTTCTTGCTGTGGGTCTATGAGCAAGTTTACCCACCCTTCCATTAACTCTCTGTAAAGTGGGAACAGTGTTGGTGTTGTGATGATTAGATGAGTAAACACATTTGGAGCATAGAGCTCTGTGCCTGACACACAGGATGCCATAAGTTAATATTTGTGAGAATGTGTGAAAGATTGTGTTTAACTGGTTTTCAATGTAAGTCCATCCTCTTCAGAGATGCCAAGGAGATAGTTGTGCGTTCTGGAGTTCTAAGACCTATATGCATCTCGTTAACCCTTGAGAAATCTAGTAGGCTCTCAAATTTTTAAAATTATATATTGAAAAATTATAATTGTGTTTATTCAGTAAAAAGTGATGCTATGATTTTTGAATACAATGTGTAATGATTAAATTGAGGTGATTAACATATCCATCATTCCAAATATTTAACCTTTTTTGTGATGAGAACATTTGAAATTTATTCTCAGTAATTATGAAATGTACAATACTCAGTTATTATCTATATTCACCATGCTGTGCAGTAGGTCTCAAAACAACAACAGCAACAAGAAAAAAAAACACAAAACAAAACAAAAAATAAATGTCTTCCTCCTTTCTGAAGCTTTGCACTTTTTGACCCCATTGCTGACAACCCCCAGCCTCACTCACTTGATGGAACACCATGAGATGTGCTTACAACAGTGGCTGGCATGTAGTCAGTGCTAAAAAATTGTTAGCTTTTGGTGTTGTTCATGTGGTTGTTGTTGTTATTGAAAAATGGTAGGTGGAATCTGCTTGTTAATATGCAGTCATGTGCCAAATAAGGATGTTTCTGTCAACAACGGACCACACAGACAACAGTGATCTCATAAGATTATAATAACATACTGGTACTGTACCTTTTCTATGTTTAGATATGTTTAGATACACAAATTCTTACCATTATGTTACAGTTACCTATAGTATTCAGTACAGTAAAATGATGTATGGGTCTGCATTCTAGGAGCAATAGGCTGTACCATCCAGCCTAGGTGTGTAGTAGGTTTGTGTAAGTACATCTATCGTTTTCACTTCCTAGTGTACTACATCATTGGGAAGGCTTCCTGTACCTTTTTTTATATATCTTTCTGTGTGTCTCCCCCACAGAATGATAATGCTTAGGTGTTTGTGTAAATACACTCTATGATGCTCACAACAAAATCACGTCATGATGCTTTTCTCAGAATGTATCCCCATCATTAAGTGAAACATGACTATACTTTAACAGAGATGGCAATTCTTGAATGACTTGTTAGAAGGAGAACAGAAATAATGGTGGCCTCACGAATTATTCAATTATTAAATTAATCAATTCATTAAAACAGCTGTTGTTAATTACCTAAACTCAGGCAGGTGAGGAAAACAATTGCTTCGTATTTTCTAATTTGTCACTCTTATGTGTTGCCACTGGCTAAGCAAACTGTGGTCGCTGCTGCAGCTAAGAGTGTCAAATTGTTGAATACCCAAGCCAGGCTTGTGAAATATTGAAAAATGACTTCTTCCATGTTGATCCATAAAATCTTTACCATCTTACAGAGAACTAATGAATCATCGCTCTAGCACCAGGTTCAAGAGCTTCCCATAATAATCTCATAACTCTAGTGCCAACATTGCCCAAGCTTGTTAGCCTTCATGAACTTCATTATTAAAGTTTGATATTTGTACTTGTGTTGTGTAATAGGATTAGTTGAATTGAAAAGATGACGAAGCTGCCATTAAAAACTTCTTTCTAATACCTCTTCTTTTTTTAATTTTGATTATTTATTTTTATTATTATACTTTATGTTCTGGGGTACATGTGAGGAATGTGTAGGTTTGCTACATAGGTATACATGTACCATGGTGGTTTGCTGCACCCATCAACCTGTCATCTATATTAGGTACTTCTCCTAATGCTCTCCCTGACCTGCCCGCTCAAACCCCTGACAGGCCCCAGTATGTGATGTTTCCCTCCCTGTGTTCATGTGTTCTAATTGTTCAACAACCACCTATGAGTGAGAAAATGTGGTGTTTGGTTTTCTGTCCTTGTGATAGTTTGCTTAGAATGATGGTTTCCAGCTTCATCCATGTCCCTGCAAAGGACATGAACTCATTCTTTTTTATGGCTGCATAGTATTCCATGGTATATACGTGCCACAGTTTCTTATTCCAGTCTATCATTGATGGACATTTGGGTTGGTTCCAAGTCTTCACTATTGTGAACAGTGCTGCAATAAACATACGTGTGCATGTTTGTTTATAGTAGAATTGTTTATAATTCTTTGGGTATATATTCAGTAATGGGATTGTTGGGTCAAATGTTATTTCTAGTTCTAGATCTTTGAGGAATTGCCGCACTATCTTCCACAATAGCTGAACTAATTTACACTCCCAACAACAGTATAAAAGTGTTTCTATTTCTCCACATTCTCTCCAGCATCTGTTGTTTCCTGACTTTTTAATGATCACCATTCTAACTGGCATGAGATGGTATATCACTATGGATTTTGTTTGCATTTCTCTAACGACCAGGGATGATGAGCTTTTTTTCATGTTTGTTGGCTGCATAAATGTCTTCTTTTGAGAAGTGTCTTTCATATCCTTCACCCAGTTTTTGATAGAGTTGTTTTTGTCTTGCAAATTTGTTTAAGTTCTTTGTAGATTCTGGATATTAGCCCTTTGTCAGATGGATAGATTGCAAAAATTGTTCCCATTCTGTAGGTTGCCTGTTCACTCTGGTGAGAGTTTCTTTTGATGTGCAGAAACTCTTTGGTTTAATTAGATCCCATTTGTCAATTTTGGCTTTTTGTTGCAGTTGCTTTTGGTGTTTTAGTTATGAAGTCTTTGTACATGCCTATGTCCTGAATGGTATTGCCTAGGTTTTCTCCTAGGGTTTTTATGGTTTTAGGTCTTACAGTTAAGTCTTTAATCCATCTTGAGTTAATTTTTGTATAAGGTGTAAGGAAAGGGTTCAGTTTTAGTTTTCTGCATGTGGCTAGCCAGTTTTCCCAACACCATTTATTGAATAGGGTATCCTTTCCCCATTGCTTATTTCTGTCAGGTTTGTCAAAGATCAGATGGTTGTAGATGTGTTGTATTATTTCTGAGGCTGCTGTTCTGTTCCAGTTGTCTACATACCTGTTTTGGTACCAGTACCTTGCTGTTTTGGTACCAGTACTATGCTGTTTTGGTTTCCATAGCCTTGTAGTATAGTTTGAAGTCAGGTAGCATGATGCCTCCAGCTTTGTTCTTTTTTGCTTAGGATTGTCTTAGCTATGCGGGCTCTTTTTTGGTTCCATATGAAACTTAAAGTAGTTTTTCTAATTCTGTGAAGAAAGTCATTGGTAGCTTGATGGGGATAGCATTGAATCTATAAATTACTTGGAGCAGTGTGGCCATTTTCAAAATATTGATTCTTCCTATCCATGAGCATGGAACATTTTTCCATTTGTTTGTGTCCTCTCTTATTTCCTTGAGCAGTAGTTTGTAGTTCTCCTTGAAGAGGTCCTTTACATCTTTTATAAGTTGTATTCCTAGGTATTTTATTCTCTTTGTAGCAATTATGAATGTGAGTTTACTCATTATTTGGCTCTCTGTTTCTTTATTATTGGTGTATAGGAATGCTTGTGATTTTTGCACATTGATTTTGTATCCTGAGACTTTGCTGAAGTTGCTTATCAGCTTAAGGGGATTTTAGACCAAGACAATGGGGCTTTCTAAATATACAGCCATGTCATCTGCAAACGGAAACAGTTTGAATTCCCTTTATTTGCATACCCTTTATTTCTTGGTCTTGCCTGATTGCCCTGGCCAGAGCCTCCAATACTTTGTTGAAGTAGAGTGGTGACAGAGGGCATCCTTGTCTTGTGCTGGTTTTCAAAGGAAATGCTTCTAGCTTTTGCCCATTCAGTATGTTATTGGCTGTGGGTTTGTCATAAATAGCGCTTACAATTTTGAGATACATTCCATCAATACCTAGTTTATTGAGAGTTTTTAGAATGAATTTATGTTGAATTTTATGGAAGTTCTTTTCTCCATGTACTGAGGTAATCACGTGTTTTTTGTCATTTGTTCTGTTTACCTGATGGATTACATTTATTGATTTCTGTATGTTGAACCAGCCTTGCAACCCAGGAATGAAGCCAACTTGATCATAGTGGATAAGCTTTTCAATGAGTTGCTGGACTTGTTTTGCCAGTATTTAGGATTTTCATGTAAATGTTCATCAGGGATATTGGCCTGAAATTTTATTTTCCTTTATTGTGTCTTTGCCAGGTTTTGGTATCAGGATGTTGCTGGTCTCATAAAATGAGTTAGGGAGAAGTCCCTCTTTTTCTAATGTTTGGAATAGTTTCAGAACGAACGGTACCAGTTCCTTTTTGTACATCCGGTAGAATTCCACTATGAATCTGTCAGGTCTTGGGCATTTTTTGGTTGGTAGGCTATTAATTACTTTCTCAATTTCAGAACTTGTTATTTTTCTGTTCAGGGATTGGACTCCTTCCTGGTTTAGTCTTGGGAGGGTACATGTGTCTATGAATTTATCAATTTTTTCTAGATTTTCTAGTTTATTTGAGTAGAGGTGTTTATAGTATTCTCTGATGGTAGTATGTATTTCTGTGGGACCAGTGGTGATATCCCCCTTATTATTTTTTATTGTGTCTGTATGATTCTTCTCTCTTTTCTTCTTTATTAATCTGGCTAGTGGCCCATCTATTTTGTTAATCTTTTCAAAAAACCATCTCCTGTATTCATTGATTTTTTTGAAGGATTTTTCATGTCTCTATCTCCTTCAATTCAGCTGTCACCTTGGTTATTTATTGGGTTCTTCCAGCTTTTGAATTTCTTTGCTATTGCTTCTTTTGTTCTTTAACTGTGATGTTAGGGTGTTGATTTTGGACCTTTTCCACTTTCTCATGTGGGTATTTAGAGCTATAAATTTCCCTCTTACCAGTGCTTTAGCTGTGTCCCAGAGATTCTGATATGTCATCTCTTTGTTCTCATTGGTTTCAAAGAACTTATTTATCTGCCTTAATTTCATAATTTACCCAGTAGTTATTCAGGAGCATAGGTTTTTCAGTTTCCATGTAGTTGAGCGGTTTGAGTGAATTTCTTAATCCTGAGTTCTAATTTGATTGCACTGTGTTCTGAATGACTCTTTGTCATGCTTTCTCTTCTCTTGCATTTGCTTAGAAGTGTTTTACTTCCAATTATGTGGTCGGTTTTAGAATAAGGGTGATGTGATGCTGAGACAAATGTATATCCTGTTGATTTGGGTTGGAGAGTTTTGGAGATATCTATTAGGTCCACTTGGTCCAGTGCTGAGTTCAAGTCCTGAATATATCCTTGTTACTTTTCTGTCTCTTTGATCTGTGTAATATTGACAGTGGAGTGTTACATTCTCCTACTATTATTGTGTGGGAGTCTCAGTTTCATTGTAGGACTCTAAGAACTTGTTTTATGAATCTGGGTGCTCCTGTATTGGGTGCATATATGTATTTAGGATAGTTAGCGCTTCTTATTGAAATAATCCGTTTACCATTATGTAATGCTCTTCTTTGTCTTTTTTTTATCTTTGTTGGTTTAAAGGCTGTTTCATCAGTCTGGGATTGTAACCCCTGCTTTTTTTTTGTTTTCTTTCCATTTGCTTTGTACGTTTTCCTCCATCCCTTTATTTTGAGCCTATGTGTGTGTTTGCACATGAGATGAGTCTCCTGAATACAGCACACCAATGGGTCTTAACTGTTTATCCAGTTTGCCAGTCTGTGTCTTTTAACTGGGGCATTTAGCCCATTTACATTTAAGTTTAATATTGTTATACATGAATTTGATCTTGTCTTCCTGATGCTAGCTGGTCATTTTGCACATTAGTAGATGCAGTTTCTTCATAGTGTCATTGGTCTTTACATTTTGGAATGTTTTTGCAATGGCTGGTACTGGTTTTTCCTTTTCATATTTAGTGCTTCCTTTGGGAGCTCTCATAAGGCAGGCCTGGTGGTGACAAAATCCCTCAGCATTTGCTTCTCTGGAAAGGATTTTATTTCTACTTCACTTATGAAACTTAGTTTGGCTGGATATGAAATTCTGGGTTGAAAATTTTGTCTTTAAGAATGTTGTATATAGGCCCCTACTCTCTTTTGGCTTGTGGAGTTGCTACAGAGAGATCCACTGTTAGTTTGATGGGCTTCCCTTTGTAGGTCACTTCCCCTTTTTCTGTGGCTGCTCTTAACATTTTTTCCTTCATTTCACCCTTGGAGAATCTGATGATTATGTGTCTTGGGGTTGTTCCTCTCGATGAGTATCTTAGTGGTGTTCTCTGTATTTTCTGAATTTGAATGTTGGCCTGTCTTACAAGGTTGGGGAAGTTTTCCTGGTTCCATTCTCCCCCTCACTTTCAGGTACACCAGTCAATCTTAGGTTTGGTCTTTTCACATAGTCCCATATATCTTGGAGGTTTTGTTCATTCCTTTTCATTCCTTTTTCTCTAATTTGTCTTCACACTTTATTTCATTAAGTTGATCTTCAATCTCTGATATCCTTTCTTCTACCTGATCAATTCAACTGTTGATACTTATGTATGCTTCATGTAGTTCTCATACTGTGATTTTCAGCTCCATCAGGTCATTTATGTTCTTCTGTAACAGATTATTCTAGTTAACAGTTTCTGTAACTTTTTTTTCAAGGTTCTTATCTTCCTTGCTTTGGGTTAGAACATGGTCCTTTAGCTCAGAGGAGTTTGCTATTACCCACCTCTGAACCATACTTCTGCCAGTTTGTCAAACTCATTCTCCATCCAGCTTTTGTCCTTGCTGGAGAGGAGTTGCAATCATTTGGAGGAGAAGCAGCATTCTGGTTTTTGGAATTTTTAGCATTTTTGCACTTTTTCTCATCTTCCTGGATTTATCTACCTGTGATCTTTGATGATGGTGACCTTTGGATGGGGTTTTTGCATGGGTGTCCTTTTTGTTGATGTTGATATTATTGCTTTCTGTTTGTTAGTTTTCATTCTAACAGTCTGGCCTGTCATCTGCAGGTCTGCTGGAATTTGGTGGGGGTCCACTCCAGACCTTGTTTTCCTGGGTATTACCAGCAGAAGCTGTAGAACAGCAAACATTGCTGCCTGCTCCTTCCTCTGGAAGCTTCATCCCAGAGGGACATCAGCCTGATGCCAACTGGAGCTCTGTTGTATGAAGTGTCTGTGGACCCCTGGTGGGAGGTATCTCCCAGTCAGCAGGCACAGGGGACAGGGACCCACTTGAGGAGGCAGTCTGTCCCTTAGCAGAGCTCAAGTACTGTGCTGGGAGATCTGTCTTCAGAGCCAGACGACAGGAACATTTAAATTGGCTTAAGCTGTGCCTACAGCTGACCCTTCCCCCAGGAGCTCTGTCCCAGGGAGACGGGAGTTTTATTTGTAAGCGCCTGATGGGGGCTGCTGCCTTTCTTTCAGAGATGCCCTGCCCAGTGAGGAGTAATCCAGATAGGCCATCTGGCCACAGCCACTTTGCTGCACACTGCAGTGAGTTAAGTGTAGTCCAAACTTCCTGGCAGCTTCCTTAACATTGTGAGGGGAAAACAACCTACTCAAGCCTCAATAATGGTGGACACCCCTCCCCCGACCAGGCTCGATCATCCCAGTTCGACTTCACACTGCTGTGCTGGTAGTGAGCATTTTAAGCCAGTGGTGCTTAGCTTGCTGGGCTCCATGGGAGTGGTACCCACTGAGCAAGACCAGATGGCTCCCTGGCTTCAGCCCCCTTTCCAGGGGAGTGAGCGGTTCTGTCTCACTGTAGTTCCAGGTGTCACTGGGTATGAAAAAAACCTGCTGTAGATAGCTGAGTGTCCCAATTTTGTGCTTGAAACCCAGGGCCTTGGTTGTGTAAGCACATGTGGGAATCTCTTGGTCTGCGGGTTGTCAAAACCATGGGAAAAAACATAGTATCTGGGCTGGATAGCTCAGTCCCTCAAGGCTTCTCTTGGCTAGGGGAAAGAGATCCCCATCCCCTTACACTTTCTGGGTGAGGTAACAACCCACCCTGCTCCTGCTTGCTCTCTGTGGGCAGCACTCACTGTTTAACTAGTCCCAGTGAGGTGAACTGGGGATCTCAGTTTGAAATGAAGAAATCACCTGCCTTCTGTGTTGGTCTTGCTGGGAGCTGCAGAATGGAGCTGTTCCTATTTGGCCATCTTCAAATTTGTTTCTTATTTTTAATTAGTTTGTCTTTTACTATTAAATTATAAGAGTTCTCTATATTCTGGATAGAAGTCTCTCATCAGATTCGTGCGTGAGCATTTCATTCAAATGATTTGTTCCCTCCAGCATTCATATTTCTACCATCTACTGTTAACTGGCATATGTCTGTCTCCTTTACCTCAACTTTCTAACTTTTATACTTTTCTCCCTGGTGAGTGCTTGGGGGCTCTCAGCCTTCTGTGCCTAGGGAGGAATTTCAGAACTGAGAGATCCCTAAGGTGTCTGACTCAGAAGGTCACAGTGATCCAAGGCTCTCTCCATCCCAAGGCCTTTAGTTGTGCATTCCAGACAGGAAGCCTACCCAGCCAGCTCCTCTAGCACTTTGAGCAGTATCCCCTCCCTGCCTCCCTTCTCCTTCTCTGTTCCCATACTGCACAGGAGCTCTGTGTGGGGAGCATGGGGGCTCACTACTGCCTGGAGCTGCTGCTATTGCTGAGGTGTAAGAACTCTGGAGAGGTAAGAAGATAGGGTGTGTGTATTTCAGGCTCTGTGTTTTGTGCCTACTGCTAGAAGCAAGGTAGGACCCAAGCCAGGAAGACATGAAAGATTCCAGGGGGTACTAATCCCAGAGCAGCATCTGGGAAAGGTGAACATAAGCAGGAAAGAAGGAGAGAAACAATAGCATTGGAGGGACTCACTCAGTGTGCTCTGGCACTTGAGTCTCTTTTAACCTCAAAGTTCAGGTGGTTCAAATTACCGTCCCACTGTGCCTGCCCGTTGGTTTAGGAGAAAATTCAATCTTCAAACCTGGCTCATGGGAATATTACATATGCCAAGACATTTAAATATTTATTGAAAGCTCAGAACAAATTACAGTAAGGACCCACCATTTCTTCTACACCATTCCTTTTGGCTATTTTCTCAGAATTTGAAAATCAATGGAGTTTGACTCTAACATGCACATTAGCTTATAATGTTACTGCTGTATGGGTCTTAGTGATATTCCTGTCCAGCATTTTCCTTGCTAGAGGTAAGAAAACTGAGGTTCACAGTAGATCAGACATTGGCAGTGTCACCAGGCTAATCCAGGACAGAACTGAGCTGAAACATCCTTGCTAAGGAGCCTCTCTTTGGGTCTCAATCATTGGGTACTATATAATGACTGACAATTGGTGACAAGGGCATAGGTTGCCCTTTTCCTTAGTATGATGAAGGATCAAGATTCTATGACATTTATAAGCAATTAGGGTACTGATATGGAACCACAAAATGTGATCCAACTTTGTCCTGTGGCCACTCCATGCAGCAAAGACAAATGACTGGTTCAGAAAACTTTGGTTTTGTTGTTTGCATACAATAAAGGCAGACTTTGGTGCAAACCTTACTTTTTTTAATGATTCCAGGGTTTTTTTTTAATGATTTCATAGAAAGAACCTCAAAAGTCATCTTTTCATATTATTAATTTTGAATGTTATGAAACTATACAGCATAATAAGATACTTGCTGGTATCTTATATCACAGGTATCTTATATCACTACAAGTAAAATCCGCTTTGAATCCTTCCTAAAGTAAGATTGGTTTATTTGGTGAATTGTTTTTAACACCAAGAAAGTGAAATCACTAGCTTTTCAACAGATTGGTGATTTATTACCTTAAACAGTGTGATCAGGCTACTTCAATTCACCTGCAGATTTCTTCCTCTCTCTATCTTGTACACATGTCATGATAAACATAATTTAAATATATATAAATTATTTAACTTATTAAAAGCCAAGTTGCTTTTGAAGAACATTTGATGTTCTTAGATTATAATTATTTACAGTTATTGAATGATTCCATTTTGTAGGCATAGACTTTTTATTGTGATTCTGATTATTTACAGTAATAGCAACTATCAATTCAACTAATGTTGTGGTAATTGCAGATTTTTGGATAACTGTTACTGTCACTGTCCACAGTGTCAGTGTGGAAAAAAAGCCACAAAACAGTAAATCCCTTTGCTTTCCAAGTGGCTTTGTAAATTCTGCTGATAAGAACTGCACAATTTAGCAATGTTTAGTCAGTGCTTTAAAAATTGACAGTTGTCTTTTAAAATAGATTTTGAATCTGCTTGTGTACCTACTTCCAAATTAAGAAAAATCATTTGTAGAAACCAAATTGATTCCAAGTTTCTAATCACAGGGAGAAAATGGGATTTTGTAAACCTGCAGAGCCTGAATTTATTATTGCATCCAGCTGCACAAATTTGTAAACATGTTCCTCTCTAGTCAGGACCCTATGGAAGGAGCCAGTTTGGACTGCTGCCTTGATAGCTAACATTTGTAGAGGCTGCAGTGCAGGAAGCTACTGGGATATTTGAACTTTGTCATCTATTTTAATGTGAGCACTAAATGGCCGGTAGAGAGAGTATGCAAGCCAATTAGTTCTGCTTCAATGTCATGGTAGGGATATATAAGTAGCCTTATTATTCTTGTCATTCTCGGTGAATTTCAGAATGCTTCTTGAAATGGGCTTTCTGTATGTGTTGAGTGTGTGTTCAGTGGGCTGTCTGGGAAGGAAGATAGGGGAGGGCCAAGGCCTGGGTCTCCTAAAACACATGATTATTTCATTGAACTAATCAGTGAGAGAAAGACAGGGCCTTGTGGTTTCTACGAGCACTGGACTTGCGTTTCTTTGTTTTCCATCCATCCTTTGGAACCAGAGAAGGCATGAGGACCATCCATGAGCAGGTTCACACTCAAAGCTGGGATAGATGGTCTTTCCCCAGTTGTCATAGCAATGCTGGCATGGGGATACTTGCCCATATTTGTAGAGTTGTCCTCCCCATCTTTGGCAGCTTAGCACAAAAGGAAGCTCCCTCATGCAATTGCAAAGCAGTTATTGGGTTAGGGTTTCTTCATTTTAAGTTATAGTTAGCTCTCTAGTATATATTTGGGAGGGCAAATGGTCAGGAAAAATTAAGTTGCAGAAGGAGAGTTCTGTGAATTGTAAGATAATTAGCAGCAGTCCTGGCATTCACCCAGGAGATACTGAGAGCACCTCTCCAACTGCCACCCGACTCTGCCAAATCCCCTGTTGTGACTCCAGACATTGCCCAAGTTCCCCTATGATACAAACAGTCCCTGGTTAAGAAGCACTTATTTAAAGGAAATTGGCTTGGTGAAGAAATCCTTATAAAGTGGAATTAGCTGAACTGTGCCAATCCCAGACTGACATGGAAATGGTCTGAGTTCGGAGGCACTGTACACAAAGGCCCAACCCTAGAAAGAAAGTGAAAGGAAGACATGAAGAGAGAGGTGTTCTCAAGGTTTAGCCTCCACCAATCCTTGTGTCCCCATGACACCACTCACCTGGTCGATTTGCTCTCCTGTTACCCTCAGAGGGGTGAACTGAGAATGAAGGCTTGTCTTGGAGGCAGCAAAGAACAGTGTCTGGGGATATCAGGTAGAAGAAGGCAAAGATCATGCATGGTCAAATTCAGTAAGGGAAGTGTTCAGGTGGCTACACAGAAGTGATGCATTGATAAATGGCAGACATTATGTACTTTAGTGCCTTTGGCATCAAAAACTTCCATTTTATGTCAAACTGTGTATCACTCCTGCTTCCAAATATGTAGTATATCCTTTGAGGGTCTACAGAGGCAGGACAAAGCCCTTTCTGAATATAAGAACTGTAGCCAACATGTATTGAGTTTGGGATTCATTAATATGAAAGAACTCAGAGGATGATATTAGTGCATTTTATGGAGGGGTATACTCACAATAGTGCGTTTTATGGATGAGGTGTAGAGAGGCCAAAAACTTTGTCCAAGTTTCCACAGCACATAGGAAATGGTCATGACTGTGAATGAGATGCTTTGGTAATGGAGGCTGCACATCCTACTACCACATTGAAAAGTTATCTTTGTGCTTCTGTGGCTGCTTGACTGACCCCCAGGGCCTCTACATTCCATGGCCAAAAATGAAGCATGGAAAATTATTTGGAGAGGCAAACAAAATTTGATTGCTTGGAGGAATTGAGATATTTTAATATTGCTCATTTTTAAAATTAATAATGAAGTGAATTCTGGGTCCTATGGTGTTTTTATTGACAATAGAGACATGATATTTGTAAATGGGCTTTATTGATTGAGATTTTTTGTAAAAAAAAAAAAAATAGAGGATTTAAGTGTGATTTGTCAAGGCAAATGTTTTGAACCCAAATAACTAATCCTTTCTTTTCTCTTTAACTCTTTATCACTCCCAGCCCAATCTTATTCCTCAATAATTATCATCTAGAAGAGTCAGGTGTTTCACATGATGCCAGCATGGACTTTTCCCAACAGGGATGTATTTTTGATTATGTAAATGTCAGCCAATGACCCTTGCTGATAATGCTTCAGATCAAATGGGGGCAAAAGAAATTGGAAGCTACCTAATAAAAATAAGTAAAAACTCCAGCTAATAAGAGTTTTACAACAGACATAAGCTGATTGTTATTTTATTAAAACAATGTGGAGTACTACTAAATGCCACTATCTTTTGGAAATGTAGGAAACTGAAGTCATTTTTCTCTTGTGAGTCCCATGTTAAACTGCTCATAGTAGGATCTCAGTTATTTTTTCTAATTAATACAGTCTTCTACTATATTGTACTCTTTTAAAAAGTCTTGACCTTAAAGTCATTCTTGGTATTCTCTGCTATTCTTTACTACCAAGGGAAACACTTCATATTTAGGGAAAAAGTCTTATTTTTATTTTGTGTGGAGTTGAGAAAGGAGGTGGTAAGCTTGACATTTCTTGCAAATAAGATGCACAATTTCATCATTTTTTTCATGATATAATTTTTGTATTGGAAGAAGTGTAATGTGTTGTGGCAGTGATATTGAGTACCATAACCATATAATCATTCTCTAAATGATTGGAATGGAGAGAAGTTTCATTTAAAATTTCAAGTTACTCAAATGGCACATGTCTCCACATTGGTGTTTGGTTTTCTGTCCCTGTGTAAGTTTGCTGAGGATGCTGGCTTCTAGATCTATCCATGTTCCTTCAAAGGACATGATCTCATTTCCTTTTATGGCTGCATAGTATCCTATTGAGTATATGTACCACATTTTTTTTTTATCCAGTCTATCATTGATGGGCATTTGGGTTGTTCATGTCTTTGCTCTTGAAAATAGTGCTGCAGATCCCAGAGCCAAGATGGCGGAATAGGAACAGCTCCGGTCTACAGCTCCCAGCCTGAGCAACACAAAAGACGGGTGATTTCTGCATTTGCATCTGAGGTACCGGGTTCATCTCACTAGGGAGTGCCAGACAGTGGGCGCAGGTCAGTGGGTGCGCGCACCGTGCGCGAGCCGAAGCAGGGTGAGGCATTGCCTCACTTGGGAAGTGCAAGGGGTCAGGGAGTTCCCTTTCCGAGTCAAAAAAAGGGGTGACAGACACACCTGGAAAATCGGGTCACTCCCACCCAAATACTGCGCTTTTCCGATGGGCTTAAAAAACAGTGCGGCACCAGATTATAACCCGCACCTGGCTTGGAGGGTCCTACGCCCACGGAGTCTCGCTGATTGCTAGCACAGCAGTCTGAGATCAAACTGCAAGGCGGCAGTGAGGCTGGGGGTGGGGGTCCCGCCATTGCCCAGGCTGGCTTAGGTAAACAAAGCAGCCGGGAAGCTCAAACTGGGTGGAGTCCACCACAGCTCAAGGAGGCCTGCCTGCCTCTGTAGGCTCCACTTCTGGGGGCAGGGCACAGACAAGCAAAAAGACAACAGTAACCTCTGCAGACTTAAATGTCCCTGTCTGACACCTTTGAAGAGAGCAGTGGTTCTCCCAGCACGCAGCTGGAGATCTGAGAATGGGCAGACTGCCTCCTCAAGTGGGTCCCTGACCCCTGACTCACGAGCAGCCTAACTGGGAGGCACCCCCCAGCAGGGGCACACTGACACCTCACACGGCAGGGTACTCCAACAGACCTGCAGCTGAGGGTCCTGTCTGTTAGAAGGAAAACTAACAAACAGAAAGGACATCCACACCAAAAACCCATCTGTACATCACCATCATCAAAGACCAAAAGAAGATAAAACCACAAAGATGGGGAAAAAACAGAACAGAAAAGCTGGAAACTCTAAAAAGAAGACTGCCTCTCCTCCTCCAAAGGAACGCAGTTCCTCACCAGCAACGGAACAAAGCTGGACGGAGGACGACTTTGACCAGCTGAGAGAAGAAGGCTTCAGATGATCAAATTACTCAGAGCTACGGGAGGACATTCAAACCAAAGGCAAAGAAGTTGAAAACATTGAAAAAAATTTAGAAGAATGTATAACTAGAATAATCAATACAGAGAAGTGCTTAAAGGAGATGATGGAGCTGAAAACCAAGGCTCGAGAACTACGTGAAGAATGCAGAAGCCTCAGGAGCCGATGCGATCAACTGGAAGAAACGGTATCAGCAATGGAAGATGAAATGAATGAAATGAAGCGAGAAGGGAAGTTTAGGGAAAAAAGCATAAAAAGAAATGAGCAAAGCCTCCAAGAAATATGGGACTATGTGAAAAGACCAAATCTACATCTGATTGGTGTACCTGAAAGTGACAGGGAGAATGGAACCAAGTTGGAAAACACTCTGCAGGCTATTATCCAGGAGAACTTTCCCAATCTAACAAGGCAGGCCCACGTTCAGATTCAGGAAATACAGAGAACGCCACAAAGATACTCTTTGAGAAGAGCAACTCCAAGACACATAATTGTCAGATTCACCGAAGTTGAAATGAAGGAAAAAATGTTAAGGGCAGCCAGAGAGAAAGATCGGGTTACCCTCAAAGGGAAGCCCATCAGACTAACATCAGATCTCTCGGCAGAAACCCTACAAGCCAGAAGAGAGTGGGGGACAATAACTTAAAGAAAAGAATTTTCAACCCAGAATTTCATATCCAGCCAAACTAAGCTTCAGAAGTCAAGGAGAAATAAAATACTTTACAGACAAGCAAATGCTGAGAGATTTTGTCACCACCAGGCCTGCCCTAAAAGAGCTCCTGAAGGAAGTGCTAAACATGGAAAGGAACAACCGGTACCAGCCGCTGCAAAATCATGCCAAAATGTAAAGACCATCGAGACTAGGAAGAAACTGCATCAACTAATGAGCAAAATCACCAGCTAACATCATAATGACAGGATCAAATTCACACATAACAATATTAACTTTAAATGTAAATGGACTAAATGCTCCAATTAAAAGACACAGACTGGCAAATTGGATAAAGAGTCAAGACCCATCAGTGTGCTGTATTCAGGAAACCCATCTCACGTGCAGAGACACACATAGGCTCAAAATAAAAGGATGGAGGAAGATCTACCAAGCAAATGGAAAACAAAAAAAGGCAGGGGTTGCAATCCTAATCTCTGATAAAACAGACTTTAAACCAACAAAGATCAAAAGAGACAAAGAAGGCCATTATATAATGGTAAAGGGATCAATTCACAAGAAGAGCTAACTATCCTAAATATATATGCACCCAATACAGGAGCACCCAGATTCATAAAGCAAGTCCTGTGTGACCTACAAAGAGACTTAGATTCCCACACATTAATAATGGGAGACTTTAACACCCCACTGTCAACATTAGACAGATCAACGAGACAGAAAGTCAACAAGGATATCCAGGAATTGAACTCAGCTCTGCACCAAGTGGATCTAATTGACATGTACAGAACTCTCCACCCCAAATCAACAGAATATACGTTTTTTTCAGCACCACACCACACCTATTCCAAAATGGACCACATACTCGGAAGTAAAGCTCTCCTCAGCAAATGTAAAAGAACAGAAATTATAACAAACTATCTCTCAGACCACAGTGCAATCAAACTAGAACTCAGGATTAAGAATCTCACTCAAAACTGCTCAACTACATGGAAACTGAACAACCTGCTCCTGAATGACTACTGGGTACATAATGAAATGAAGGCAGAAATAAAGATGTTCTTTGAAACCAAAGAGAACAAAGACACAACATACCAGAATCTCTGAGACCCATTCAAAACAGTGTGTAGAAGGAAATTTATAGCACTAGATGCACACAAGAGAAAGCAGGCACGATCTGAAATTGACACCCTAACATCACAATTAAAAGAACTAGAAAAGCAAGAGCAAACACATTCAAAAGCTAGCAGAAGGCAAGAAATAACTAAAATCAGAGCAGAACTGAAGGAAATAGAGACACAAAAAACCCTTCAAAAAATTAATGAATCCAGGAGCTGGTTTTTTGAAAGGACCAACAAAATAGATAGAACGCTAGCAAGACTAATAAAGAAAAATGAGAGAAGAATCAAATAGACGCAATAAAAAATGATAAAGGGGATATCACCAATGATTCCACAGAAACACAAACTACCATCAGAGAATACTACAAACACCTTTACGCAAATAAACTAGAAAATCTAGAAGAAATGGATAAATTCCTCGACACATACACTCTCCCAAGACTAAACCAGGAAGAAGTTGAATCTCTGAGTAGTCCAATAACAGGATCTGAAATTGTGGCAATAATCAGTAGCTTACGAACGAAAAAGAGTCCAGGACCAGATGGATTCACAGCCGAATTCTACCAGAGGTATAAGGAGGAACTGGTACCATGACTTCTGAAAGTATTCCAATCAATAGAAAAAGAGGGAATCCTCCCTAACTCATTTTATGAGGCCAGCTTCATTCTGATACCAAAGCCTGGCAGAGACACAACCAAAAAAGAGAATTTTAGGCCAATATCCTTGATGAACATTGATGCAAAAATCCTGAATAAAATACTGGCAAAACAAATCCAGCAGCACATCAAAAAGCTTATCCACCATGATCAAGTGGGCTTCATCCCTGGGATGCAAGGCTGGTTCAATATACGCAAATCAATAAATATAATCCAGCATATAAACAGAGCCAAAGACAAAAACCACATGATTATCTCAATAGATGCAGAAAAGGCCTTTGACAAAATTCAATAACTTTCATGCTAAAAACTCTCAATAAATTCGGTATTGGTGGGACATATCTCAAAATGATAAGAGCTATCTATGACAAACCCACAGCCAATATCATACTGAATGGGCAAAAACTGGAAGCATTCCCTTTGAAAACTGGCACAAGAAAGGGATGCCATCTCTCACCACTCCTATTCAACATAGTGTTGGAAGTTCTGGCCAGGGCAATTAGGCAGGAGAAGGAAATAAAGGATATTCAATTAGGAAAAGAGGAAGTAAAATTGTCCCTCTTTGCAGACGACATGATAGTATATCTAGAAAACCCCATTGTCTCAGCCCAAAATCTCCATAAGCTGACAAGCAACTTCAGCAAAGTCTCAGGATACAAAATCAATGTACAAAAATCACAAGCATTCTTATACACCAACAACAGACAAACAGAGAGCCAAATCATGAGTGAACTCCCATTCACAATTGCTTCAAAGAGAATAAAATACCTAGGAATCCAACTTACAAGGGATGTGAAGGACCTCTTCAAGGAGAGCTACAAACCACTGCTCAAGGAAATAAAAGAGGATACAAACAAATGGAAGAACATTCCATGCTGATGGGTAGGAAGAATCAATATCGTGAAAATGGCCATACTGCCCAAGGTAATTTACAGATTCAATGCCATCCCCATCAAGCTACCAATGACTTTCTTCACAGAATTGGAAAAAACTACTTTAAAGTTCATATGGAACCAAAAAAGAGCCTGCATCGCCAAGTCAATCCTAATCCAAAAGAGCAAAGCTGGAGGCATCACACTACCTGACTTCAAACTATACTACAAGGCTACAGTAACCAAAACAGCATGGTACTGGTACCAAAACAGAGATATAGATCAATGGAACAGCACAGAGCCCTCAGAAATAATGCCGCATATCTACAACTATCTGATCTTTGACAAACCTGAGAAAAACAAGCAATGGGGAAAGGATTCCCTATTTAATAAATGGTGCTGGGAAAACTGGCTAGCCATATGTAGAAAGCTGAAACTGGATCCCTTCCTTACACCTTATACAAAAATCAGTTCAAGATGGATTAAAGACTTAAACGTTAGACCTAAAACCATAAAAACCCTAGAAGAAAACCTAGGCAATACCATTCAGGACATAGGCATGGGCAAGGACTTCATGTCTAAAACACCAAAAGCAATGGCAACAAAAGCCAATATTGACAAATGGGATCCAATTAAACTAAAGAGCTTCTGTACAGCAAAAGAAACTACCATCAGAGTGAACAGGCAACCTACAAAATGGGAGAAAATTTTCGCAACCTACTCATCTGACAAAGGGCTAATATCCAGAATCTACAATGAACTCAAACAAATTTACAAGAAAAAAAACAAACAACCCCATCAAAAAATGGGCAAAGGACATGAACAGACACTCCTCAAAAGAAGACATTTATGCAGCCAAGAAACACATGAAAAAGTGCTCATCATCACTGGCCATCAGAGAAATGCAAATCAAAACCACAATGAGATACCATCTCACACCAGTTAGAATGTCAGTCATTAAAAAGTCAGGAAACAACAGGTGCTGGAGAGGATGTGGAGAAATAGGAACACTTTTACACTGTTGGTGGGACTGTAAACTAGTTCAACCATTGTGGAAGTCAGTGTGGCGATTCCTCAGGGATCTAGAACTAGAAATACCACTTGACCCAGCCATCCCATTACTGGGTACATACCCAAAGGACTATAAATCATGCTGCTATAAAGACACATGCACACGTATGTTTATTGTGGCACTATTCACAATAGCAAAGACTAGGAACCAACCCAAATGTCCAACAATGATAGTCTGGATTAAGAAAATGTGGCACATATACACCATGGAATGCTATGCAGCCATAAAAAATGATGAGTTCATGTCCTTTGTAGGGACATGGATGAAATTGGAATTCATCATTCTCAGTAAACTGTCGCAAGAACAAAAAACCAAACACCGCATATTCTCACTCATAGGTGGGAATTGAACAATGAGATCACATGGACACAGGAAGGGGAACATCACACTCTGGGGACTGTTGTGGGGTGGGGGGAGAGGGGAGGGATAGCATTGGGAGATATACCTAATGCTAGATGACGATTTAGTGGGTGCAGCACACCAGCATGGCACATGTATACATATGTAACTAACCTGCACAATGTGCATGTGTACCCTAAAACTTAAAGTATAATAATAAAAGAAAAAAAAGAAAATAGTGCTGCAATACACATACGTGTGCATAGGTCTTTATAATAGAATTATTTATATTCTTTGGGTGTATAAACTGTAATGGGATTGCTGGGTCAAATGGTATTTCTGGTACTAGATGCTTGAGGAATTGCCACACTGTCTTCCACAATGGTCAAACTAATTTACATTCCCAAAAAGAGTGTAAAGGCATTCCTGTTTCTCCACAGCCTCACCAGCATCTGTATTTTCTTGACTTTTTAATAATTGCCTTTCTGACTGGCATAAGATGGTATCTCATTGTGGTTTTGATTTGTGTTTCTCTGAGATTAGTGATGTTGACCTTTTTTCAATGTTTATTGGCTGCATAAATGTCTTTTTTTGAGAAATGTCTGTTCATATCCTTTGCCTACTTTTTGATGGGGTTGTTTGTTTTTGTCTTGTACATTTGTTTAAGTTTCTCATAGATTCTGCATGTTAGCCCTTTGTCAGATGGATAGATTGCAAAGATTTTCTCCCATTCTGTATGTTGCCTGTTCATTCAGATAATAGGTTCTTTTGATATGCAGAAGCTCTTTAGTTTAATTAAATCCCATTTGTCAATTTTGGCTTTTGTTGCAATTGCTTTTGGTGTTTTATTCATGAATTCTTTTCTCATGCCTATGTCCTGAATGGTATTGCTTAGGTTTTCTCCTAGGGTTTTTATGGCTTTAGGTCTTACATTTAAGTCTTTAATCTCTCTTGAGTTAATTTTTGTATAAGGTGTAAGGAAGGGATCCAGTTTTAGTTCTCTGCATATGGCTAGCCAGTGTTCCTAACACCATTTATTAAATAGAGAATCCTTTCCCCATTGCTTGTTTTTGTCAGGTTTGTCAAAGATCAGATGGTTGTAGATGTGTAGTATTATTTCTGAGATCTGTGTTTTGTTCCATTAGTCTACGTATCTGTTTTGGTACCAGTACCAAATTTTGGTTACTGTAGCCTTGCAGTATAGAAGTCAGGTAGTGTGATGCCACCAGCTTTGTTCTTTTTGCTTAGGGTTGTCTTGGCTGTACAAGGTGTTCTTTCATTCCATATGAACTTTAAAGTAGTTTTTTTTTTTTTTATTCTGTGAAGAACATCAATGGTACTTTGATGGGAATAGCACTGAATCTATAAATTGCCTTGGGCAGTAAGGCCATTTTTATAATAATGATTCTTCCTATCCATGAGGATGGAATGTTTTTCCATTAGTTTGTGTGCTGTCTTATTTCCCTGAGCATTGGTTTGTAGTTCTTCTTGAATAGGTCCTTCACATCCCTTGTTAACTGTATTCCTAGGTATTTTATTCTCTTTGTAGCAACCGTGAATGGGAGTTCATTCAAGATTTGGCTCTCTGCTTGTGTATTGCTGATGTAAAGGAATGCCTGGGATTTGGGCACATTAATTTTTGTATCCTGAGACTTTGCTGAAGTTGCTTATCAGCTAACGGAGTTTTTGGGCTGACATGATGGAGTTTTCTAAATGTAGAAATATCTCATCTGTAAACAGAGACAATTTGACTTCCTCCCTTCCTATGTAAATCTCTGGCCTGATTGCCTTGGCCAGAACTTCCAATATCATGTTGAGTAGGACGGCTAAGAGAGAGCATCCTTGTTTGTAGCAGGTTCCAAACTGAATGCTTCCAGCTTTTGCCCATCCAATATCATACTGGCTGCAGGTTTGTCATAAATAGCTCTTTTTATTTTGAGATATCTTCCATCAACACCTAGTTTACTAAGTGTTTTTAACATGAAAGGATGTTGAATTTTATTGAAGGCCTCTTCTGCATCTATTATTGAAGGCCTCTTCTGCATCTATTGCTATAATCATATGGTTTTGCTTTGGTTCTATTTATGTGATGGATTATGTTTATTGATTTACATATGTTGAACCAGGCTTGCATCTCAGGGATTAAGCTGACTTGATCATTGTGGATGGATAAGTTTTTTGATGTTCTGCTGGATTTGGTTTGCCAGTACTTTATTGAGGATTTTCACATCAATGTTCATCACAGATATTGGTCTGAGGTTTTCTTTTTTTGTAGTGTCTCTGCCAAGTTTTGGTTATCAGGATGATGCTGGACTCATAACATGAAGTTAGGGAAGAGTACCTCCTTTTTAATTATTTGGAATAGATTCAGAAGGAATGGTACTAGGTCTTCTTTGTACCTCTGGTAAAATTCAGCTGTGAATGTGTCTGGCCCTGGGCTTTTCTGGGGTTGGTAAGCTATGAATTATTGCCTCAATTTCAGAACGTGTTATTGGTCTATTCAGGGATTTGATCTCTTCTTGGTTTAGTCTTGGGGAGGTTCATGTGTCCAAGAATTTACCCATTTCTTCTAAATTTTGTAGTTTATTTTTATAGAGGTGTTTATAGTACTCTCTGATGGTAGTTTCTATTTCTGTGGGGTCAGTGGCAATACCCCTTTATCATTGTTTATTGTGTCTATTTGATTCTTCTCTCTTTTATTGATCTAGCCAGCAGTATATTTTGTTAGTTTTTTCAAAAAAAAACAGCCCCTGCATTCATTGAATTTTGGAGTGTTTTTTGTGTCTCTTTCTCCTTCAGTTCTGCTCTGATCTTAGTTATTTCTTGTCTCATGCTGGCTTTTGAATTAGTTTGCTCTTGCTTATCTAGCTCTTTTAATTATGATGTTAATTTCATTCGTATCACTCCTGTCTGTGTGAAGAGACCACCAAACAGTCTTTGTGTGAAGAACAAGGCTGTTTATTTCACCTGGTTTCAGACAAGCTGAGTCCAAAAAGAGAGTCAGTGAAGTGAGATAGGGATGGGGCCATTTTATGGGATTTGGGTAGGTAAAGGAAAATGAGTCAAAGGGGATTGTTCTTAGGCGGGGCAGGGGCGGGGTCACAAGGTGCTCAGTGGGGGAGCTTTTGAGCCAGGATGAGCCAAGAGAAGGAATTTCACAAGCTAATGTCATCAGTTAAGGCAGGAACAGGCCATTTTCCTGTCCTTTGTGGTGGAATGTCATCAGTTAAGGCAGGAACAGGCCATCTGGATGTGTAGGTGCAGGTCACAGGGGATATGATGGCTTATCTTGGGCTCAGAGGCCTGACAGTTAGGGTGTCATTTCAGATTTTTCTAGCCTTCTGATGTAGCATTTAGTGCCATAAATTTCCCTTTTGACACTACTTTAGCTGTGTCCCAGAGATTCTGGTATGTTGTCTCTTTCTTCTCATTGGTTTCAGAGAACTCCTTGATTTCTTCCTTAATTTACCCAGGAGTCATCCAGGAGCAGACTGTTCAACTTTTATGTAATTGGGCAGTTTTTATTGAGTTTCTTAATCTGAGTTTTAATTTGATTGCACTGTGATCTGAAGGACTGTTTGTTATGGTTTTACTTCTTTTGCATTTGCTGAGGAGTGTCTTACTTCCAATTACATAGTCAATTTAAGAAATAGTGCCATGTGGCACGGAGAAGAATGTATATTCTATTGATTTAGGGTGGAGCACTCCATAGATATTTATTAGGTCCACTAGATAATCAGAGTTGAGTTCAAGTTCAAGCTGATTATCCTTGTTAATTTTCTGTCTCATGGATCTGTCTAATGTTGACAGTAGGATGTTAAAGTCTCCCACTATTATTGTGTGGGAGTTTATGTCTCTTTGTAGGTCTATAGGAACTTGTTTTATAAATCTGAGTGCTCCTGTATTGGGTGCATATATATTTAGGATAGTTAGCTCTTCTTGTTGAATTGATCCTTTTGCTATTATGTATCGTTTGTCTTTTTTGATCTCTGTTGGTTCAAAGTATGTTTTTTTCAGAGGCTAGGATTGCAACCCCTGCTCTTTTTTTGCTTCCTATTTGTTCATTTGCTTGGTACATTTTCCTCCATTCCTTTATTTTGAGACTATGTGTGTCTTTGCATAGGAGATGGTCTCCTAAGTAAAGCATACTGATGGGACTTGACTCTTTATCCAATTTGCTAGTCTGTGTCTTTTAATTGGGATATTTAGCCCATTTACATTTAAGGTTAATACTCTTATGTGTGAATTCGGTCCAGTCATCATGATGCTAACTGGTTATTTTGCACACTAGTTGATGCAGTTTCTTCATAGTGTCATTGGTCTTTATATTTCAGTGTGTTTTTGCAGTTGGTGTTCTGGTTTTCCTTTACATATTTAGTGCTTCTTTCAGGAGCTCTCGCAAGGGCAGGCCTGGTGGTGATGAAACCCCTCAGCATTTGCTTCTCTGGAAAGGATTTTATTTCTCCTTCACGTATGAAGCTTAGTTTGGCTGGATATGAAATTCTTAGTTGAAAATTTTTTCTTTAAGAATGTTGAATATTAGCCCCTAATCTCTTCTGCTTTGCAAGGTTTCTGCTGATATGTCTGCTGTTACTCTTATGGGCTTTCCTTTTTTAGGTGACCTGGCCTCTCTCTCTGGCTTCCCTTAACATTTTTTCCTTCATTTCAACCTTGGAGAATCTGATGATTATATGTCTTGAGGTTGATCTTCTTGTGGAGTATCTTAGTGTTGTTCTTTATATTTCCTTAATATGCATGTTGGCCTGTCTTGCTAGGTTGGGAGATTTCTGCTGGATAATGTCTGAAGTGAGTTTTCCAGTTTGATTCCATTCTCCCCATTTCCTTCAGGTACTCAAATCAATCGTAGATTCAGTCTCTTTACATAGTCCCATATTTCTTGAAGGCTTTGCTTGTTTCTTTTCATTCTTCTTTCTCTAATCGTGTCTGCAAACCTTATTTGAGCAAGGTGGCCTTCAAACTCATATCCTTTCTTCTGCATGGTTGATTTGGCTATGATACTTGTGTATGCTTCACAAAGTTCTCATGCTGTGTTTTTCAGCTCCATCATGTCACTTATGTAACTCTCTAAATTAGATATTCTAGTTAGCAGCTCCCCTAACCTTTTATCAAGGCTCTTAACTTCTTTGCATTGGGTTAGAACATGCTCCTTTAGCTCAGTGTACTTTCTTATTACCCATCTTCTGAAACCTACTTATATCATTTTATCCATCTCATCCTCCATCCAGTTTTGTGTCCTTGCTGGAGAGGCATTGCCATCATATGGAGGACAAGCACTCTGGCCTTCTGGGTTTTCAGCGTTTTTTTCATTGATTCTTTCTCATATTTATGGGTTTGTCTATTAACACTTTGAGGCTGCTGAGCCTGAACGGGCTTTTTGTGGGGACTTTTTGTGGTCATTGATGGTGTTGTTATTGGTTTCTGTTTGTATTTCTTTCAATGGTTTGATCCCTCGTCTGTAGGGCTGCTGTGATTTGCTGGGGGTTCACTTCACGCCCTATTCATGTGGTACACTCCCATGCTTGGAGATGTTACTCAAAGAGGCGGGGAAACAGCAAAGATGGGTGGTTGCTCCTTCTTCTGGGATCTCTGGCCTCTTGGGGCACCAACCTGATGCCAGTAGGACAGCTCCTCTATAGGGATCTGAAAACCCTTGTTGGTGGATCTTATCCAGTTGAGTAGCACAGGGAACAGGACCCATTTAATGAAGCACTTTGACTGTCTCTTGGTGTAGGGGTATGCTTTGCTGGAGGGAAAATCACTCATCTGGGCTGCCTGGATTCTTCAGATCTGCCAGGAGGAAAGGCTAAGTCTGCTTGTCCCCAGAGACTGTGACCACACCTCTAGGGGCTCAGAGCCAGGGAGACGAGGGTTCTGATATCTCCAACAACTGAGCCTCTGGCTGGAGTTGCTGGATTCCTCCAGGGAGGCCCACTCATTGAGGAAGAATGGGTTGACCAGGCCTGAAGAGGTGCCCTGTCTGCAGTCTGCCACAGTTAGATTGTGTGGGACACCTCTTGGGACCAAGCTGTCCAGCTGTCCAGCCTCCCTGGCTCCAGCAGGGGAAAAGCATAGCCTGGGGCATAGAGATGGATGCCACCCTTCCCCAACTTGCGGAGCTTAGCGTGTTACGCAGCCATCAGTCTCAGTGCTTGCTGCTGCCCCTCCCTCACAGACTACAAACTGCTTAGGCAGTAGGCAGCTGCAGCTGTGGTGCTGGTCAGCCCTCCCCCAAGGAACTCAACAGGCTTAAGCAGATTCTAGCTGAGAGGCTTTTAAGAATCTTCAGGGCTCCAGAATTGGGACCCTAGGCCCCAGTGGCATGAGTTCATGAATGGCACTTTTCAATCTGTGGATTGCACTGTTCTGTGGGACATGGTTTCCCAGGCTGGGTATCAAGCTCACTCACCACCTCCCTTGGCTGTGGGGTGGGGGCTCCCCGGGGTAGCAAGGGAACTCCTCGCTCCTGAGCTCATGGAAGGCTGAATGCTGGGATTGATTCCAGTCCTGCCAGCAAGGAAGGAGTGCTGAGAAAAGCCAGAACATTTTGACTGTACTTCTGTCATAGTATTATTACTATGACAGAAAAGGCCATTTGGCATTTTTAGTTGTTATTTGTAGGCTTCTTTTATCCCTTTCGTAATTTCTAGATTCCTTAAGGATGTGGACCTAACTATTTTCAACAGCACATAGAGTAGTGCCCTGCCCTAGACTGTGCTTATGTGGACTCAATTGATTAGAATTGGTCCAGGCCAATTGATTAAAAGTTTTTCTACCTTTAAAAAATTTCTACCTTTAAAAAATTGAATCTAAGTTCTTTAAAATGAAGTTATTTGCTTGAATATTGACACCCTTCCAGTAAAGTTGTGTTTATCCATTCCAGAAAATGATTAAGGGGTCTTAATCATAAGGGTACTGAAATAAAGTTACCATGGGTGCATGTAATATAAACCCCGCAAAGACTGTTTACAATTCCGTGTGGGTGTAGGCAAAAAAAAAAGGGATTCAAATGTAAATATGAGTGGCACAGAAAACCTGTTTGGAGTCCATTTTATGCATCTGTTAACATTTTGAAGGCTGTGCAATACAATTTATCATCTTAAAGTTTATGAAGTGAAATAAATGACTTGTATATAACATAACTGCAATTCCCTATTTGAAGTTCCATTAATAACATCTCTTAAGAAAACAAATTACTTAAATAATTTTCAATTCAGTATATTATTATGCATATCACATAATTTTATTTAAAAATCATTTTCTATAGAATGAGATCAAAAAACCAGATTTTGATTGCTGATGTGGTGTGAAGTACACAACCAGTATTCCATATCCTAATTTGTTTTGTAATACAGTCTTCAAAAGTTTATCTTTTTAAATGCAAAGAAATTGTCATATAAACTTCCCTTCATTTGGTTCAGGTTTCAGTGATTGTATATGTTCATACATTTTTATTTTATCAACGATTTTAACTGATGTGTAAACTTCATTTTTTAAAAAGATTTGACGTAGTATAATTTCAGTTTTCTCTAAAAAGAAATATAGTCCCTATTTGCTTGCCAAATGGTGAATTTGTATGAGTAAATGAGCAGTTCTTACCTTATTCAAGAATACTCATTCATAATATGTTGTCTCAAATGATAGGAAAATTTAAGTTTCATTCAACACAAAGACATGAATGATTTTTAAAACATTTTATTGTCTACTATTGGTACATTTTTAGTTACAGAATTTGCTAAGTTAAGTGATTGTAAGCAAAAATCATTGTGTGCTTGTGTCATCCCTGAAAGCAACTAAAGTGTTTACTTCAGTTCCTGTCTCATATTCTGGTCTTTTAATCCTGAAAAAAATAGCAAAAGGAACAATTAAATAATTTAATTGTTTCCAGTGAGTACCATTTACAATACATGTATGCCTTCGGTTTTGTCAAACCAATGTACAACCACTTAAGTTGAACTCTATAATTTCCAAAGTTTCTTTGTTCATTCGTTGTCATTAGATATTAGGTGTCCATGAAGCCTTCTTCTACCTTTGGAACACTTAAAGCCTATTATTTTATAACAAAATAACAATTGCTACCTTTCTTTGAGTAATTCTTGCATGCCAGGTTCCAAGCTCACCATGCTATTTTATTTTTCTTAAAACAACTCTAAGAAACTATTATTTATACTCAAATTTTATACGAAAAGAAACTGAGTTTTAAAGAGTTCAAACTATCTGCCCAAAGTCACCTTTCCATAAATAGCTTTGTCAAGGTGTGAGCACATTATAAATCCACGGTGTTAATTCTTAATAAGGAGATAAATAAATGCATTTTCTATGCACAGAGAGAACATGTGCTTTAGACTAGAATAGCCAATGATAGTCGTCAGATTACTTGGGATTCAATCAATTTCCTTTCTTTTTTTTTTTTTTTTTTTTTGAGGCGGAGTTTCACTCTTGCTACCCAGGCTGTAGCTCAATGGCACGATCTTGGCTCACTGCAACCTCCACTTCCTCGGTTGAAACAATTCTGCTGCCTCAGCCTCCCTTGTAATTGGAATTACAGGCATCTGCTTCCACGCCCAACTAACTTTTTTTTTTCCCTTCGTGTTTTTAGTAGAGATGTGGTTTCACCATGTTGACCAGGCTGGTCTCAAACTCCTGACCTCAGGTGATCCACCTGTCTGGGCTTCTCAAAGTGCTGAGATTACAAGTGTGAGCCACCCCACCCAGCCTCAATCAATTTTCAAAAATTCTGCCCCATATTCTCTGTAAACATGCTCACAATTATTAAGCCATTTATAACATATATTATGATTTTTTAATTCAGAAGTTATCACATTTATACCTGGACAGAGGCTTGAAAATGATCTGATTTTGTCATTTTCCCCCATTTAAAAGAAACGAAAATACTCACACATTTGAAGTAACTTTTACAATAGTGCCTCCTTTTTGAGGGCAAAGCCAGAACTTGAACCTAGCTGTCCTGGCTGTCTATCCTGGTCATTTCCACCTCACTTTTCTCTGCTTCTCAGTAGTATATCATCAATAGCTTGTATAAATTGGAATTACAGTTGGATACATATAAGTGATAGATCACATAATCTTATATACGTAGAAATAAGATTTTATGGATGTGGATAAAGTTTTTTTATTGATTATTCCCATTCATTTGTAAGTGCTTCTTGTAATGGGAGATTCAGTCATAAATTGAGGTAACTTCTTTTTAAAAGCTTAATCATCTATAGAATCTCAGCACTAAAAAGGACTCTAACAGCATGTTTAGTTTAGCCTCCTCCAAGTTAGACTGAAAACTACTGAAAATGGGAAACCTTCGTATAGGTTTTTTTAAAGAGATTTCCCATCTACCTTTCATAGCTTGTTCAAATATATGCACTCTAAAAATTACCCACCCCATCTTATCTTAAGCCTTCACTGCAATTCTAGCCTCTTCTTGTGAGTCAAATCTTTGAAATGAAAGAACTGATATTCCCTTATTGCTGTTGCCCTTAAAATTAAGAGGGTTTAATAATATATTTTTCTATTAATGGGTTGTCATAATATACAGTCTGGTAGAAATTCAATAATAATAAAATTTAAACCTATCATAAAAACTGTGTTCTTAATTACCAAGCCATTTAGATAAATTTGTTTATAATGTAAAGATACAACATATTACTTGGACTAATAGAATCATAGATCTGTAACTACTACAACTCTAGACCCTGAGTTGTTGGACCCCTTAGAACTCTGGGGCCAACTTTGCTGCACCATTTTCACAGGATTTGCATTGTAGTGGCTTCAAGGTGTACTCACCACTTCCTCCTGCTTGGTCTTGTCTGTTGCTGGCCAAGCTTCCAGATGCAGATCAGGAAGTATGGGGGGCAGGGGCCGCAGGGGGAACATTGGAGGCAGAGGTGGCTGTGGCAGCAGGGGCTGCATGGGTTGCACAGGTGGCTGGGGCTGCATGGGCTGGTGAGGCTGTGGCTGAACAGGCTGGGGCTGGAAGGGCTGCTGGGCAGGCAGAGGGAGGTTTGGCTGATGGTGTTGGGTTGGAGTCATGGATTGCTGGCCAGGAACAGGCATCAGTGCTTGCTGGCGGACCCTGGGCTGCTGAGCTGGCACCACTGGGATGTGGTGATGAGACTGCAGGGTGTGAGTCAGGGGGTGCTGTTGGGACACCACGGGGATGATTTGGTGGTGCAGCCATCCACCCATGGGCTCGTAACCATAGGAAGAGTACTGGTGAGAAACAGAGATGCAGGTTTACCATTGGCTCACGTGACTCCAACCAGAGAAGCAGCAGTGTTGTCTTTGCCATTATGGCCATAGGAATATTGTATTTATCTTTCCTTTGCAAAAATTTGTAACTGTGTACACAGACATGATTTTTTACAAACTAAATTTCCCATTAGTGTCTGTATGTGGAGTACACATGGTATTTTCTTAAAATGGGAATTTAAATGCATGCCTAATATTTTCAGGGAATAAAGAACAAAATGTCTACATACTGGTGGTCTTATCATGCTCTGGTACCACTTCAAAGGGGTGAGCACCTTAAGAGAAAGATATATTAGAATCCATTTGATTTAATTTACTTTCATCCCATGCAGAAATTCACTGATGCGGTAGGAAATATAGACTCACTAAAGCAATCCTGTCAACATTGATAGCCTGAGAATGTGAGTTCTACAAGAGAAAGAAGAAGGTAAAACATTTGTTGGGTACTTCCTGTGTGTCAGGCACTGTGTTTACATCCATCACACACATTCTTCATCTTTCCTTATATGCTAGGAGGCAAGTATTGTTACTCTCACTTTTTAGATAAGGTCATGGGAAGTTAAAGAGATTCATTAACTTGACTGAAGTTACAAAGGGAGTAAATCTGTTTATTTCCATAGGTCCTGCTTTTCATTGTAAGAGCAAAGCAAACATAAAATTATGCCGCAATAATGTGACATAATGTTAATTTCATCTTTCCTTTGATGTCACAATGGGGAAAAAAGCGGTGCAAACACTGTCCCTCAACCTAAAAACACAGATTTTACTGATCAAATTTGTCAATCTTTTAGGTTTAACAGAAAACCTTGCCTCAGATTCTTATTAACATTTGTCAGCAGCTTGTGTAAGTAAATAAACTCACAGATTGTTACCTGAACCTATGAGAGAAGTAAGAATTTTATTCCTTTCTGAACAGTATACACACTTAGTTAACCTTAGGTTTGGGGATTCTTTATATGGTAATACAGCATGTAATCAATAAAAAAAATCAGTTACCTTGCTCATATTATACTTGACAAAGCAGTTTTTATAATTGTTAACTATATTATTCTCCAATATTTTGAAATGTGAATATTACAGTAATTTCCCTTGTCCAAATGAGAAAACCAGGGTTCCAAAGAGAGGAAATTATTTGCCCAAAGTTAGTAATTTTACCTAATCTTTACATTTTACCGGATGGGATAGAACCAAGCTGGTCAGTCAGAGTTGACTTTTTGCCCTTTCATGGAACCTTCCTGAGCAGTGGTTCATGAATGAATAAACTTACAGCCATATTTAGGAGGAAAGAGTCAATCCGAATGGTCAGGCAGGAGGGTGCTGGAGCAACACAGGCTTGAGGCCAACCATCAGAGCTTAAACTGGGAAGCTGATGGTAGGAACTGTAAAATTGGGACCACTTGAGAAACCACTTTATTTGGGATGAAGAATCCACCCACTATTCTTTACAGAGCCCAGGGGACTGCTAATGCAAACAGTGATCAAAATTAGTAAAGAGAAAAATTACCTCATAGCTGAAGTTGATATAACCAGGGTGCCCAGGATGAGGTGGTAGCTTTTATAGGGAGGAGGGGAGGAGAAGAGAAAGAGAGAGGAAGGGAGAGTGTGAAGGAAGGGAAGAGAGAGTAAGAGATTAAGTCAATATGCAATTGTTAACATTAAGAGAGACTAAAATTACTTTTAAAAAATCTATATAGTACAGAATATATTTGAGGTCTGTTTTTCGTTAAAACAAGTGTGCTATGTAGGAGAGGAGACTTCTTATTTTAAAGAGGTCTAGAATAGCTAAATGATTGTCCCTGGGGTTATAGTCTTAAAGTTGGAGACCTGGAAGCAGAAACCAGGACACATTTATTCTCCAGTGATCAAACAACATCCTTCTCCCACCCCAGTGCTGTCAATGAATTCTACCTTATCCTGTCTAACAGTTTACTTGCTGATAAAACTCATCCCATGTTGGGGAGTGAAGTATGTTTCTTTTACACGGTAAAGAAATATCAACAAGCAGTTGTCTCACAAATGTTCCCTTGTAGATCAGGAGGTGGTCAAGTACTGTAAGTATCTAAGGGATTTCTCATAATTGACAGGCAAAGTAAACAACACATCCATACAACAAAAGAAGCCACAAAAGAAACCACAAGGTGGAAATTAATGAATGCCAGAACAAGATGGGTGGAGAAAGTAGAAACATTATAAATCCAATGGAAAAATGAAAGAGTTTATTTAGGCCAATCTTTTTTATGATTCTCCCAGTGTTTTTATGGCAGAAAAAAATTTTTAAGTTAAAAATAAAAGGCCACATGAATGATAATCTGAATCAGGACTGTCTATCCTCTCAAAAGTGGAAGCCAAGTGTTTGGCGCCTGCCTTGTGGAACTCTGGTTGCACCCGGGGTCCACGTGAAGAAGAGAGACAATCATGAAGAAAATCTCCCTCAGATATTGACCTCATTTAGGACTGGCTATATTATATTATTTCAAAATTCTCACATTTCATAGGAGGGGTTTATTCACTCTCATCTGCATGTGAATGGTTTTATTCAGGTCCTATACCCTTTTGATCGATACCATCTTAGAGAGCAGGAAAAGGGCTGAATTCGTAATGCCGGGACTCCTGAGAAGACTAGGGATTGCCACAGTGCAGGATTTCAGGAAGGCAGAGCACAGAATCTTGGTTTTGTGGGTGAGAGAGGAAGAGAGGAGGTAGGTGTGGAAGCTTGCTGGCTTCTGGTTGTATCAACTGCTCTTTATGCCACCAAAAAGTATATGCAGGCTGCTTGGCATGCATATGATCTAAGTTCTCTGCCTTTATGCACCTGTGTCCAGACAGAGTGAGAGTGACACCCTGGTGTTTAATACATTTAAATACAAAATACATCACTATATATTGGGTGTAGGTGGGATCCTGGACAACCACAAGAAAGCCACATACTTATCAGATGCACCCAAAGGGGTAGGACTTCTGAGAATAGTCAAGATGTTTCTAGAAGTGGATTCCTAACACAGAAATCTTACCCTTCAAGTGGTAACAGCAGTAATATGTGGAGGGCAAGAAGATATCTGGAAACTTGAGAGGAATTAGGTTTTAGACCAAACGGGCATTTTGGTAATATTTTTATAAGGCTGATTAAGCACTTTCTCTGGAGACCTTTCAAGAGTCCCTTTCAAAAGCTTCCTCCAGGCCAGGTGCCGTGGGTCATGCCTGTAATCTCAGCACTTTGGGAGGCCGAGGCGGGTGGATCATGAGGTCAGGAGATCGAGACCATCCTGGCTAACATGGTGAAACACCGTCTCTACTAAAAATACAAAAAATTAGCGCGGCATGCTGGCACATTCCTGTAGTCCCAGCTACTCAGGAGGCTGAGGCAGGAGAATCGCTTGAACCTGGGAGGCAGAGGTTGCAGTGAGCTGAGATTGTGCCACTGCACTCCAGCCTGGGCGACAGAGCAAGACTCCATCTCAAAACAACAACAACAACAACAACAACAACAACAACAAAAAAACCTACAAAAACCAAAAACTTCCTCCATGTAGAAATGGGTGGTGATATTTCCAGGCTAATGGTATCAACTGAATCTCCTGGGGTGCTTGTGAAAATAGAGTCCTGGGCCCAACCCCAGCTGTACCAAATCAGAACCTCTAGTGGAGGCATCTCAGAAGCTATTTTATTTATTTAATTAATAGATTTATTTTTAAATTTTTGTGGGTGCATAATAGTTATATATATTCATGGTGTACAATATGATGTTTTGATATATATTTACAGGGTGGAAAGATTAAATGAGGCTAATCAATGGAACACTATTCAGCCTTAAAAAGGAATAAAATCTTGACATTTACAAAGATGCGAATGAGCATGAAAGACATTATACTAAGCAAAATAAGCTAGGAAGAGATAATCTATTTTTTCATTCCCCAAAGTGTTTCTTCAGCACAGATGTTTTGGGGCCTCTTAGCTCAAACTGTTTTAAACCTTAAAGTTTCCCAGCTGGGGGACAAATTCTTATTTCCACGTTTGTAAATTGGACACAACTTATGCAAAGAATGTTTTACTCACAGGCATGGCAAAAGCTGCTCCCACAAGGCAGGCAAACAAAATCCAGGTCCCCATTTCTTGATGGTTCTGAAATGAAAATCAGCAAGTGCTTTTCTCATCTCTTCTCAAACATGTGCACCATAAAGTGCCTTAAAAAACATAATCTGCATTTGTCTGTGGGTAGCAAGTAGGATATTCTTTGCAAGGTTAATTTTTCTTATTTGATTTCAAGTTCTCAGTCCATTTTATTGTTTTGGAGTCACAGTAGTTAGCATAAAATCATTTTTCATTTAGGTTGGAAACTGAACAAGTTGAGGAAAATAAATCATGTTGTTATGTAATTTGGAATGCCATATTCCTGTCTGTCTGCATGGTCCTGTAAAGCCATATAAGCTAAGTATAATTTTTAATTAATAATCAAAGGAACAAATTTGGCTCTTAAGGTTCAAGAGCCCGTCAAGGTAGGTATTTACCCATTACTACATAGCATTTTATTATTTTAAAATGAGGAGCTGAGAAATATTTCTTATATTATCCATCTAGGTATTGATATTGTTAAAAACAAAGACTGATGATTTGAGGGAAAAAAATCTAAGTTATTTGCCAAAACAGATTAAGAAATGACAGGGATTTCTAGCCTTATAGAGCTTCAGGCAGGTAAAATGTCTGAGCTCAGGGGGTCTGCATAGCAAAAGATGAGGTTAAACAGAAAGGCAAAGAAAACAATAATCTGTGAATTTATTGATTCTTCAGTAAGTTTTGGATTATTTATATCTCAAAGATTCTATTTTATTTCATGGTATCTTCCCTTTGATATATGTTCTAATTTAATTACTCTACAAATTAGAGATGTGAGATATGAATTAAAACTTGTTCACTTAAACACATGCACAATGCTTCATGGCTCAAATTATTGACTAACTTTAAAAATCTTTAAGTAAAAAGACATTAATTTTGGTAAAGACAGTGAATATAATATGTAGTAATGCTGATATGAGTACTACATTGATGTTGTATCCTAAATGTGTGTTATTAAACTTGAAATAATTTTTAAAAAGAGATAAAGTTTTAGATGATGGTTTTAGTATGAAATAAGGTATTATTTGATGTATTTAACAAAAAAAGTGTTAAAAGTAATAAAGATAGCCTTAAAGTATTATTTCAATTTAGTTTACAAGTGAGTTTGGCTTCCAGGAACTCCTTTTGGTTTCTAAAATTAAAATTTAAATACACATATAGACAAATGCTTTGAAGCATTATAAAGTAAAAAAAAAAATTACATAATGAGAGTCAAATTTAATTATAATCCAACAGAAGTAACTGATTCTTAACAGCATAAAGTATTAGAAACATGGAATTTATTTGCATCTATTAAATATGAATTACAGAAAAGAAGCAGAATAAAAAGGACACAAAATAATATGTAAAATCCACATACCTTTAAATATATTCAGAGAAACTTTCTTTGTGCTACACAGGGAGGCTTGGTCCTCTAGATTTTCTTTAACTATGAGCTCAATTTATATCCTTCAAGGTATCTACAACAACCAATCAGATTTGTGAAGAAAAAATGTGTTGAATATGACTAAAAATTCCTGTATCATCATAATTTTTTTGCAACCATGGCTAAATATAAGGTAGTATATTGTGATTAGTCCATATAGTTCTTCATTATAGTCAATAATATGTTTAACAGGCAAAAGGAACTTCATTGCACTGTTTTTAAGTCAGCAAATTTGTAGCTTGCACATGCCAAAACATTCAGACTTATGTTTAAGAGGATCTTATGTCATTGCCTGTGATCGATTAAAATTTTAAAATCACTACAACTGTATTTTTTGCTTTCCTTAAAGGTATGTCCTTTGTTCCCTGTTGCTACTCATTTGTCACCACTCTGGTGTTCAGAAAAGCGCCAAAAGTCTCTCTGGTGTGATCTGCAACTATTTATTATCTAAACAAATTCAAGGTTATCATAGTAGCAAAACTTTTATGCATGATCTAAAAGGCAAGACAAGAGGGATTTTACACATTGGTCAGCACACATCAAAATATATTTAAATACTTAGGAACACCTATCATAAGGCATATTGCCCTGGCTACTTCATCCTACATAGCGTATCAACCTTTCTAAGTATGATGGCCTTCTTTGCCCGTGTACTTCTAGCCCATTTCTGCTTTCTTTCATGCATGAAACAGATTTTCTTTTTCTTTAGTGTCTCTTTAGTTGCATTGTTTTCATATTTTTAATAAGCTCTACTTTGCCTAAGCAAAAACAAGAAAAGTCTGTCCGTCTCTGAGGACTGTGATCTATTAAACGCATGCTTTTTTATAACACTTTCATCTTAGTGAACCACAAACATTTATGATTTTATTTTATATCTGATCAATTAAAAATCTAGCATCGAGAGATAATGAATGATGTCTATCAATATTAAATTAATAAAGGAAATAGTAATACCCAGATACAACTAATATTATAGCTGAATCTCTTTGAATACTTAGCTAATATTTATAAACTTTTTGCATATGAATATTATACCATATACATGAGCCAAATTTGAAGAATTAAATTCAAGGACAAAATATGTATGAAAATCATGTGTATAATAGTTAATGCTATGATATAAATGCATGTGGGTTCACCTTACCCAAGTTTCACCAAGGGACAACCTTCAAGTTATTTAGCCTGTCTGAGCCACAGTTTCTTCATATATAAACTGGGAACAGTAATAAAACCCTTTTAATAGAATTAGCATGAAAATTAGAGAGAGACATCCTTAGTAAATGGAAAGTTATTACCTGTCCTAATTCACCACATGGCACTTAGAAATTTTTTAAAGATGAAAATAAGATTCTAGGATGATGTGGGGATATTAGCAAGAAATGAATAATTTTTATGAAGAAAGGTAAATCTTTCAAGCTAAAAGGAAGAAAGGTAAACCTATCACCTTCTACTTCTTGCTATACAGAAAGATGTAGAAGATTATAAAGGGCAACACAGATGAGTTAAAGTGAACGTAGAATATAGTTCTAAATGCCAGCTGTACCCAAGATAGAATATAGTTCTAAATGCCAGCAGTACCCAGGGTGTATTTGTATTTATGAATATATTTATTGGTGAATTGTATATTGAAGGCAAGAATACGCTTTGAAGGAAATTGTAACACTAAGTTTTAAGAAAACAGGCTTTAGCGTATTTGTAGAGAAGAGGTGAGAGAGTGAGGGAGTAAAAGGAGAGAGAAGGGAAGTATAATACATATTCTCCTTCAATTTATTTTATTTTATTTTATTTTTATTTCATTTTATTTATGTTTATTGAAGTTCCTAAAAGGATTAAGAAATTTTTCTACAAAATTATGGGTGAGCTCTACTAAAGAAATGATTGAAAACAAAAAGTAGAGGTCTTTGGCTTTAACAATGTATTTTTTTATGTTGTCTCATATTTTTGAATGATAAGAAATTATATATTTGTTCAATGTAAACAACAGAATTCTTGTTTCTGATTCACTGTCGAGAATTATCCAGAGTTTGATGACCAGTATCACAAAAACAGTATGATTCTATTTGTTTTTCCCAACTGAATATCCTAATTCATACAGTCTTAACATATGGATAACTCTGCTTGAAATCTCTCCATTTAGGTCTGCCTTAAACATTTAAAAATTATCAGCTGTTTTGGAAGAGAGGACAAAATTTCAGTAGAAAATTTTTTATATAAACAAAAATTTCATTTATGAATAAGTTGAATTTTAAAAAGAAAATATGTTATTGTATTGACTACTTCCTGAGGAAGAGGATCAAAATAGCTGATTAGATATTGCTAATATGTACAACTTCCATGGAGAGAAAACCCAATAGCCAGTGATATTCACACTTTAAACACATTGTCTAAGAGAGAATCCTAGGGTTGAACAGACAAGTGATAAGAATAACTGAAAGCACATAATAAAAGGGCTTAAGGTAGCTTGCCCAGCCAGAGATTAAGAGAAGCTCCTAAATATGGAAAAAGAGTAAAAGAGAAATCCCCAGGGTTCCACTCTTCTGCAAGAGTGTTATTGACTATGGGAGATACCCTTGATCCATGTAAGCCTCAGGCCTAACATAGGGAGAGACCTAGACATTGCACAGAGACATTGCTCCAGAAAGGGAACACATCTAGAATCCCACAGACATGAGCCCAGAGCAGCTACAGCTTGGCACGATTCTAAGAATCTACATGCTGGGATCTACTCCTGCCCAGAGGCCAGAACTGAAATGGCTGCTGCCACTGGGCCAAAAAGGGAGAGGAGAGAAGGGACACTCCCACAGACCACTAGGACAATCCTTACCCTATTGCTACAGCATACTGTAGGACCAGGGTGTGATAAGTCAACAGTCCTCACAACTTCTTACTCATGCAACTCGCCAGAGAGAAACCCTGCCCTTTCTACTCATGGGTTCATGGCACCATCTTGAGAATTTAAGGTTAGGATGTGCTCCACACTGGGGCTGAGTCCAAACAGACATGGCTGCAGCTACCATGTGACCAAGAAAGGACAGGTGAGACCAGACTGTTAGACAAACATAAGACAATTCCCACCACTCTGCTGTGGGCTACTGTGAGACTAGGGCATGAAAAGTCTTAACTCCCCACAGCTTCTTTAGCTTCTTACCCATGCTGTTCCACCTGAGAGGCCCCTCTCCCTGGTGGTAGGCTCACAATGCACCAACCATATCATCCCACACTAGAGCATTCCTCCAGTAATGCCTGTCTGTCACAGCCAGTGTGCGAAGATACTACCAGGGCCCTAAAGAGAAGCCCCAGACCCAGGGCTCTAATATGTTATCCAGGAGCCCGGAAATATCCTGGCCCAGCCCATCACCAATCACATCTGATCACTTCTGCCAGGGTCTGTAGTCAGACGGAGCCAATCTATTGATATTGCCACAGATGACACCCATCCATTCATGCCACCAGCAAGCTAGAGAACTATCCTAACCAATACATCACAGCTACCAGCAACACCAACATGGGCTTCTGGTTCCCTATGTGTTCCTCCACCACTGGTACTGCTATAACATATATCATACCAGCTGGACGGGGACCTGAGAATCCACCTAGCCACCCAGATCATTGCTCTCACTACCAGTGTCTAAACAAGCCGTCCAGTGGTCCAAGAATTGACTTTCCAGGACCCAGTAACATTGGTGCCTGTTTAAGCTGCATTGATGGCTATGAACAGGGATGCTTGATGTACCACTGCTACTGGGGGCATTAACCTACCTGGTATCACAGTCCCCAGAAAAACTTCACCATAACGTCAACTAATAACCATACCTTAAGCCACTGAGCAAATCAGAGACACCACTGAACTTGTTTAGTACTGAAGAAATCATACAGAGATTACACAACTGCAGGTACCCAAAATCAAAGCCAAATGTCTCAAACAATTGTGTGTGTGTGTGTGTGTGTGTGTGTACCTTCAGGAAAAAATTCTCCCCTATCAGAGCAATTTCAAAAACTTGTAAGAAGCATCTGTTATGGCAGATGTGTAGATCCTAACATAAGGACACCAAAACAAGAAAAAGTAAGAAAATATGACATCACCAAAGGACCACAATAATTATCCAGCAACAAGTCCTCTTTTCCCCTTTCAAGGATTTCCACAGGGACTTTTTACTGAGGATAAGATTATGACATGGTGTCAGGTTTCCCATGCACAACCTTCATTTTGGGTGAGCATTCCTGCCATCCTTAGCTCAGGGTGTCCTTCCCAGTACAGCTGTATAACCCTTTGTCTGCCTGTTTATGACCACACAACAATGATACATTACCTTCCCTGAAGCTGATTTCTGGCACCTAGAGTTAGAATCAATTTACCTTCTTTGTTCGCTGAAACTTTCAGATGGCAGTGCTGGATCTCTAGGGAAGTAACATGACTTCCCAAAAAGAGACGTGGATTATCTTGTCCGGGATCCTATCTGGGTTGCCAGTTCTGCTACTGTCAAAGCCTGTCCCCTAAAAAAGATGGGTCTTTCCCTGTTCTTGTCATGAAGCCAATACAAGAAATAAAAAATGAGTGTCAAGTATTTCAGGCTTTATAGCCAGGAAATTGAGAAATGAGAGCATGGTTCACAAATGAAATTCTCTACTAGTGAACAGAAGGGGGTTAAAATACATTATTTCTCTAATGAAAGGACTGACATTAAAAGTAAGGAGAAGAACATCATGTCTTTTCAGAAAGTGGGCTTTAAACTTCTCAGAACTGTAGTTTTGCCTCACTTGTGATTGGTTCTAGTCATTGCATGGGTGATTAGTCACCTGTTGTATCGCTGGTAGAAATGTAATTTTGCATTAAAATGAGGTTATGATAAGGCTTAATCCAGTCTATCATTTGCTTAATCCAGTCTATCATTGTTGGACATTTGGGTTGCTTCCAAGTCTTTGCTATTGTGAATAGTGCTGCAATAAACATACATATGCATGTGTCTTTATAGCAGCATGATTTATAATACTTTGGGTATATACCCAGTAATGGGATGGCTGGGTCAAATGGTATTTCTAGTTCTAGATCCCTGAGGAATCGCCACATTGACTTCCACAATGGTTGAACTAGTTTACAGTCCCACCAACAGTGTAAAAGTGTTCCTATTTCTCCACATCCTCTCCAGCACCTGTTGTTTCCTGACTTTTTAATGATCGCCATTCTAACTGGTGTGAGATGGTATCTCATTGTGGTTTTGATTTGCATTTCTCTGATGGCCAGTGATCATGAGCATTTTTTCATGTGTCTTTTGGCTGCATAAATGTCTTATTTTGAGAAGTGTCTGTTCATATCCTTTGCCCACTTTTTGATGGGGTTGTTTGTTTTCTTCTTGTGAATTTTTTGGAGTTCATTGTAGATTCTGGATATTCGCCCTTTGTCAGATAAGTAGATTGCAAACATTTTCTCCCATTCTGTAGGTTGCCTGTTCACTCTGATGGTAGTTTCTTTTGCTGTGCAGAAGCTTTTTAGTTTAACTAGATCCCATTTGTCAATTTTGGCTTTCATTGCCATGCTTTTGGTGTTTTAGACATGAAGTCCTTGCCCATGCCTATGTCCTGAATGGTATTGCCTAGCTTTTCTTCTAGAATTTTCATGGTTTTAGGTCTAACATTTAAGTCTTTAATCCATCTTGAATTAATTTTTGTATAAGGTGTAAGGAAGGGAACCAGTTTCAGCTTTCTACATATGGCTAGCCAGCTTTCCCAGCACCATTTATTAAATACGGAATCATTTCCCCATTTCTTGTTTTTGTCAGATTTGTCAAAGATCAGATGGTTGTAGATATGCAGCATTATTTCTGAGGGCTCTGTTCTGTTCCATTGGTCTATGTCTGTGTTTTGGTACCAGTACCATGCTGTTTTGGTTACTGTAGCCTTGTAGTATAGTTTGAAGTTAGGTAGTGTGATGCCTCCAGCTTTGTTCTTTTGGCTTAGGATTGGCTTAGGATTGACTTGGTGATGCGGGCTCTTTTTTGGTTCCATATGAACTTTAAAGTAGTTTTTTCCAATTCTATGAAGAAAGTCATTGGTAGCTTGATGGGGATGGCATTGAATCTGTAAATTACCTTGGGCAGTATGGCCATTTTCACAATATTGATTCTTCCTACCCATGAGCATGGAATATTCTTCCATTTCTAACAATCTAAACTTTATAAATGAAGGACAATTATAGTCTTTTTCAAATAAGCGAATACTGACAGAAATTATTACCACTAGATCTGCCTTAGGAGAAGTCTGCAAGGGAGTGTTAAACATGGAAATAAAACTACCACAAAAACACACTTAATCACATTACATTAAAAAGCTGCTATACTATCAAGTCTACATAACTACAAGCTAACAAATGACAGGATTAAATCTCACATATCATGCAGTATTTATTTGAGGATTTTCCCATTGATATTCATCAGGGATATTGGCCTGAAATTTTCATTTTTTGTTATATTTCTGCCAGGTTTTGGTATCAGGATGATGCTGGCCTCATAAAATGAGTTAGGGAGTATTCCCTCTTTTTCTATTAACTTTAATAGTTTCAGAAGGAATGGTACCAGCTCCTCTTTGTATCTCTAATAAAATTAGGCTGTGACTCCGTCTGACCCTGGACTTTTTTTGGTTGGTAGGCTATTAATTGCTGCCTTAATTTCAGAATTTGTTGTTGGTCTATACAGGGATTCGACTTCTTCCTGGTTTAGTCTTGGGAGGGTGTATGTGTCCAGGAATTTATCCATTTTTTCTAGACTTTCTAGTTTTTTGCATAGAGGTGTTTATGATATTCTCTTGTGGTAGTTTATATTTCTGTGGGATTGGTGGTAATATCCCCTTTATCATTTTTTAATGAATGTGTTTGATTCTTCTCTCTTTTCTTCTTTATTAGTCTGGCTAGTGGTCAATCTATATTGTTGATCATTAAAAAAAGCAGCTCCTGGATTCATTGATTTTTTTGAAGAGTTTTTTGTGTCTCTATCTCCTTCAGTTCTGCTCTTATCTTAGTTATTTCTTATCTTCTTCTAGCTTTTGAATTTGTTTGCTGTTGCTTCTTTAGTTCCTTTAATTGTGTTGCTAAGGTGTTGATTTTAGATCTTTCATGATTTTCCCTGTGGGTATTTAGTGCTATAAATTTCCCTCTACACACTGCTTTAAATATATCCCAGAGATTCTGGTACATTGTGTCTTTGTTCTCTTTGGTTTCAAAGAACATGTTTATTTCACTGGGATGCAAGGCTGGTTCAACATATGCAAATCAAAAGATATATTCCATCATGTAAACAGAACCAATGACAAAAACCACATGATTATCTCAACAGATGCAGAAAAGGCCTTCGACAAAATTCAACAGCCCTTCATGCTAAAAACTCTCCATAAGCTAGGCAATGATGGAACATATCTCAAAATAATAAGAGCTACTTATGACAAAACCACAGGCAATATCATACTGAATGGCCAAAAACTGGAAGCATTCCCTTTTAAAACTGGCACAAGACAAGGAAACCCTCTCTCACCACTCCTATTCAACATAGTATTGGAAGTTCTGGCCAGGGCAATCAGGCAAGATAAATAAATAAGGACTATTGAATTAGGAAAAGAGGAAGATAAATTGTCTCTGTTTGCAGATGACATGATTGTATATTTAGAAAACCCCATTGTCTTAGCCCAAAATCTCCTTAAACTGATAAGCAACTTCAGGATACAAAATCATTGTGCAAAAATCACAAGCATTCCTATATACCAATAATAGAGAAACAAAGAGCCAAATCATGAGTGAACTACCATTTACAATTGCTACAAAAAGAATAAAATACCTAGGAATACAACTTACAAAGGATGAGAAGGACCTCTTCAAGGAGCACTACAACCCACAGCTCAAGAAAATAAAAGAGGACACAAACAAATGGGAAAACATTCCATACTCATAGAGAGGAAGAATCAGTATCATGAAATTTGCCATACTGCCCAAAGTAATTTATAGATTCAATGCTATCTATCCCCATCAAGCTACCAATGACTTTCTTCACAGAATAGGAAAAAAACTAGTTTAAATTTCATATAGAACCAAAAAAGACTGTGCATAGCTAAGACAATCCTAAGCAAAAAGAACAATGTTGGAGGCATCACGCTACCTGACTTTCGACTATACTGCAAGGCTATAGTAACAAAAACAGCATGGTATTGGTACCGGTACCAAAACAGATATATAGGCCAATGGAACAGAACAGAGGCCTCAGAAATACACCACATATCTACAACCATCTGACCTTTGACAAACCTGACAAAAACAAGCAATGGGGGAAAAGATTTCCTATTTAATAAATAGTATTGGGAAAACTGGGTAGCCATATGCAGAAAGTGGAAACTGGATTCTTTACTTACACCTTACACAAAAATTAACTCAAAATGGATTAAAGACTTAAACATAAGACCTAAAACCATAGAAACCCTAGAAGAAAACCTAGGCAATACCATTCAGGACATAGGCAAGGGTAAAGCCTTCACTACTAATGCACTAAAAGCAATGACAACAAAAGCCAAAATTGACAAATGGGATGTAATTAAACTAAAGAGTTTCTCCCCAGCAAAAGAAACAGTCGTCTGAGTGAACAGGCAACCTACAGAATGGGAGAAAATTTTTGCAATTTATCCATTTGACAAAGGGCTAGTATCTAGAATCTACAATCAATTTAAACAAATTTACAAGAAAAAAAAACAACCCCATGAAAAAGTGGGCAAAGGATATGAACAGACACTTCTCAAAAGGAGACATTTATGCAGCCAACAAACATATGAAAAAAAGCTCATCATCACTGGTCATTAGAGAGATGCAAATCAAAACCACAATGAGATACCATCTCACGCCAGTTAGAATGGTGATCATTAAAAAGTCAGGAAACAACAGATGCTGAAGAAGATGTGGAGAAATACAAAGGTTTTTACACTGTTGGTGGGAATGTAAATTAGTTCATACATTGTGGAAGACTGTGTGGTGATTTCTCAAGGATCTAGAACTAGAAATACCATTTGACCCAGCAATCCCACTACTGGGAATACACCCAAAGGATTATAAATCATTCTACTATAAAGACACATGCTCACGTATGTTTATTGAGGCACTGTTCACAATAGCAAAGACTTGGAACCAACCCAAGTGCCCATCAATGATAGACTAGATAAAAAAAATGTGGCACATATATGCCATGGAATACCATGCAGTTATAAAAAGTGGTGAGTTCATGTCCTTGGCAGGAACATGATGATGCTGGAAATCATCATTCTCAGCAAACTGACACAAGAATAGAAAACCAAACATTGCATGTTCTCACACATAAGTGGGATTTGAACAATGAAAACACAGGACACAGGGAGGGGAACATCACACATCGGGGCCTGTTGGGGTGGGGAATAGGGGAGGGATAGTATTAGGAGAAATATCTAATGTAGGTGATGAGTTGATGAGTGCAAAAAACCATCGTGACACGTGTATACCTGTGTAGCAAATCTGCACATTCTGCACATGTACCCCAGAACTTAAAGTATAATAATAATAAAAAAGAAAAGCTGATGAAGTGAGGGAGATTTTTATAAGGAGAAACACTGATGGCTCTTTTAAAGATTTGCTTTTTCTTGATATAAATTATTCAGTGCATAATGGAGATTCGTTACTGTGAACTATTGCAATAATGATTGAACTCAGCAAATTCATTTACACCATTGTTCAAATAGGAACTTAGAGTCAGGCTAATTTACCTTAAGATTTTTCTTCTTCCTCCTCTTTTCTATCCTTGAGTTTCCTCTGGGTAGTTCTTACACTGGGCCACTGTGTAGCGCTCCTGCTTGTGCAACTTGCCATATAGGTAGGGTTGCCAGATTAAATACAGGATGCCCAGTCACAAGTGAATTTCAGATAAACAATGATTTGTTCATTATGTGTCAGATATTGCATGAGGATATGCTTATACTAGGAAATTGTTCTTTATCTGAAGTTAACATTAAAAAAAACTTTTTCAGTGATAGACTGGATTAAGAAAATGTGGCACATATACACCATGGAATACTATGCAGCCATAAAAAAAGGATGAGTTTCTGTCCATGGATGAAGCTGGAAACCATCGTCTGCAAACTATCACAAGATCAGAAAACCAAACACTGCATGTTCTCACTCATAAGTGGGAGGTGAACAATTAGAACACATGGACACAGGGAGGGGAGCATCACACACTGGGGCCTGTCAGGGGCTGGGGGGCTGGGGGGGGATAATATTAGGAGAAATACCTAATTTAGGTGGCAGGTCGAGGGGTGCAGCAAACCACCATGGCATGTGTATACCTATGCAAAAAACCTACACGTTCTGCCCGTGTAATCCAGAGGTATAATATAAATAAATAAAGTAAATAAATAATAAATAAATAGAAATAAAATCTTACATGTCAATATTGACCTTGAATGCAAGTGGGCTAAACATCCCACTTAAAAAGCAGAGTCACAAGTTGGATAAAGAAGCAAGACCCAGCAGTATACTGTTTTCAAAAGACCCATTTTATTTGCCATGATACTCACAAGCTCAAAATAAAAGGATGGAAAAAGATCCAATAAGCAAGGCAAAATCTAAAAAGAAGAGCAGTTGCTATTCTTATTTTAGACAAAACAGACTGTAAACTCACAATAATCAAAAAGGACAAATAAAGGCTTTAAAATAATGATAAAGGGTTAAATTCAACAACAAGACTTAACAATTCTAAATATATGTGCATCTAAACTCAGGCACCCAGAGTTATAAATCGTCCATCTGACAATGGTCTAATATTTAGAATCTGTAAGGAATTTAAACTAACCCATAAAAAAACAAGCAACTGTATTAAAAATGGGCAAAAGACATAAACAGAGATTTCTCAAAAGAAGATATATATGAGGTCAACAGGCATATGAAATAAAAAGTTCAGCATTTACTAACATTGGTGAAATGTGAATGGAAGCAACAGTAAGATAGCATTTCACATCAATCAGAATGTCTATCAGTAAAAAGTAAAAAAATAACAGACGTTGGCATGGTCACAGAGAAAGGAGAATGCTTACGGACTGCTGTTGGAATATAAGTTAGTTCAGCCACTGCAGAAACCAGTTTGGAGATTCCTTAAAGAATTTAAAACAGGCCAGATGCAGTGACTCATGCCTGTAATCCCAGCACTTTGGGAGGCCAAGGGGGGCGGATCACGAGGTCAGGAGATCGAGACCATCCTAACACAGTGAAACCCCGTCTCTACTAAAAATACAAAAAATTAGCTGGGCGTGGTGGTGGACACCTGTAGTCCCAGCTACTCAGGAGGCTGAGGCAGGAGAATGGCATGAGCCCAGGAGGCAGAGCTTGCAGGGAGCCAAAATTGTGCCACTGCACTCCAGCCTGGGCGACAGAGCGAGACTCTATCTCAAAGGAGTTTAAAACAGAAATATCCTTTGTCCCCACAATCTTATTACTAGCCATCTACCCAAATGAATATAATTTGTTTTGCCATATAAGTCACATTTGCACATATATTTATCACAGTACTGTTCATAATATCAAACACATGAAATCAATGTAGATGCCCACTGATGGCAGATTGGATAAAGAATATGTGATGTATATATACCCATGAAATACTACACAGTCAAAAAAATGAAATTATTCTTTGCAGCAACATAGATGAAGCAGATGGCTCTCATCCTAAGCAAATTAATGCAGAAACAGAAAACTAAATATCATATGTTCTCACTTATCAGTGGTAGCTAAATATTTAGTACACATGAACTCAAACAGGTGAACAATAGACATTGGGCTTACTTGATGTTGGAAGGTGGCATGGGAGTGAGAATAAAGAAAACCACCTATCAGGTACTATGCTCATCACCTGGGTGGTGGAATCATTTGTACATGAAACCCCAGGGACTTGCAGTTCACCTGTATAACAGACCTGCACATCTACTCTCTGAAAATAAAATGAAAGTTGAAGATTAAAAAGAAACAAAATGCATTCAGAGGGGAAAATTGATTAATAGTCTGCTTCATAGAATGCCCTGACATTGAACTTACTAGACAAAGACTTAACATTATCTATCTAAAATATAACCAGAGGCCTAAAGAAAATCATAAAGAAAAATACTGAATGAAACAAAAACAATGTATTATCAAATACAGAATATCTCAATAAAGGAATGAAAGTTATGAAAACAAACAAAAGTCAAGAGTTGAAATAAAAATTTCACCAGAATGATTCAACACCTTTTAACAGATCAAAGAAATAACCGATAAACATGAAGGTAGTCTTTGATATTGTTCATTTTGAAGAGCAGAAGGGAAATAGGATAGCTGGGTGCACTTATTCATATCTGAAATCTGAACACTTTGAGAAACTCTGGTTAGAGGAGCATTTGAGCCCAGAAGTTCTAGACAAGCCTGGGCGATATAGCAAGAACCCATTGCTACAAGAAATATAAAAATTAGCCAAGCATTGTGGTACACATCTGTATTTCTAGCTCCTAGAAAGGCTGAGACAGGAGGATCACTCAAGCCTACGGTTGAGGGTTACAGTGAGCTATAATTGCACAACTACATACCAGCCTGGATGACAGACTGAAACCCATCTCTTAAATACAAAAAAAAGAAAACCAGTATGGAATGAAGAAATATGAGCAAGGGCTGAGACACTTGTAATACCATTAAGAATACAACCACTCACATAATAAGAGTAACAGAAGGAACATAACAATATAAACAGCCAGAAAATATTTCAAAAACAAAAGCTAAAAACTCTTCAGATTTCAAGAAATGCATAAATCTACAAATATACGTTCAATGAATCACAAAAAAGATGATGCTAAAGACAAAGAAACATTATACTCAAACTGTCAAAAGTCAATTAAGAAGAGTCTTGAAAGCATCAAACTGACTCATCGCACACACACAAAAATCCTCAATTCAATTAACAGACAGTATCACTTCATAAACCATAGAGGTCAGAAATCATTGGCATAACATATTTAAAATACTAAAACAAATTGTTAATATCAATGGAGAATTTAATAGTTCACAAAATAGTTCTTCAAATATGAAGGAGAAAAAGACATTACAGATTAAAAGAAAAATGAGTTTGTCACTGCAGACCTACCATATTAGAAATGCTAATGAGAAAATATACTAGACAGCAACTCAAAGCCACATGAAAAAATAAATAAAAATGAAGGAAAACATCACCATGAGTAACTGCAAAAACATAATATTGCATTTTTTGCTTTTAATTTATTTTTTGTATTAAAAGCAAATGATTCAAACAATAATTACAAATTTATATTGATGAACATACAATGTCAAATGTTTTAAGATGTAAATTTGTGATAATAGCAACATTAAGGAGTGCTGTGTTATAAAAGATTTTGTTGTTTTCTGCTATTGAAAGTAAGCTAGTATTACCTATTTTTTGTTTTTGTTTTTGGGGTGTTATTCTTTTTTTTTCTTTTACTTTAAAATCTTTGATACATGTGCAGAACATGTTACACATGTGCCCTGGTGGCTTGCTAAACCTATTAACCCATTATCTAAGTTTTAAGCCCTGTATGCCTTAGCTGTTTATCCTAATGCTCTCCCTCCATTTGCCCCCGACTGGCCCCACTGTGTGTCTTCCCCTCCCTGTGTCCATGTGTTCTAATCGTTCAACTCCAACTTATGAGTGAGAACATGCAGTGTTCGATTTTCTGTTACTGTGTTAGTTTGCTGAGAATGATGATTTCCAGCTTCATCTATGTCCCTGCAATTCCTTTTTATGGTTGAATAGTATTTCATGGTATATACGTGCCACATTTCCTTTGTCCAGTCTATTATTGTTGGGCATTTGGGTTGGTCCCATGTCTTTGCTGTTGTAAATAGTGCTTCAATAATTATATGTGTGCATATGTCTTTATAGTAGAATAATTTTTATTCCTTTGGGTATATACCCAATAATGGAATTGCTGGGTCATATGGTATTTCTGGCTGTAAGGTATTTCTGCCCCACTACACTGTCTTGCACAATGGCCAAACTAATTTACATTTCCTCCAATAATGTAAAAGCCTTCCTATTTCTCCACAGTCTCACCGGATCTTTTGATCTTGACATTTAATAATCACCATTCTGACTGGCATGAGATGGTATCTCATTGTGGTTTTTATTTGCATTTATTTGCATTTCTCTAATGATCAATGATGTTGAGCTTTTTTCATATGTCTGTTGGTTGCATAAATATCTTCTTTTGAGAAATGCCTGTTCATATAAACAAAATTCTGCGGGTATAAACAAGTTCACTAAGATTTGAAAGAAATTATTTAGCTTTTTTTCTGTAGGTTGAAGCATTAAAATCATACTGATATGGGGCCAGAATCTGGACCCATGTGTCTGAATAACAGAGTTTTCTTAGGAAATTGATCTGCTGTTTGATGGAAAATTGTAACGGGTTCTAAAAAGTTTATGAAAATTTTACCTTATGGTCAAACTAATTAAAACTCGATGGAAATATAAAATTTTATTTTAAGGCCAAGTGCAGTGGCTCATGCCTGTAATCCTAGCACTTTGGGAGACTGAGGTGGGTGGAACACCTGAGGTCAGGGGTTCAAGACCAGCCTGGGTAACATGGTGAAAACCTGTCTCTACAAAATACAAAAATTAGCTGGCTGTGGTGGTGTGCACCTATAGTCCCAGCTACACCAAAGGCTGGGGCAGGAGAATCATCTGAACCCAGGAGGTGAAGGTTGCAGTGAGCTGAGGTAGTGCCCCTGCACTCCACTCTAGGTAACAGAGTGAGGCTCTGTCTCAAAAAAAAAAAAAAAAAAAAAAAAAAGATTATATTTATAGAAATAAAAAAAAATAGGCATGGCACAATGGATCCGATCTGTAATCCCAGCACTTTGGGAGGCTGAGGTGGAGGGATCATGGTGTTAGAGGTTTGACACCAGCATGGCCAACATAGCGAAACCTGTCTCTACTAAAAATGCAAAAATTAGCTGGGCTTGGTGGTGGGCACCTATAACTCCAGCTACTCAGGAGGCTGAGGCAAGAGAATCGCTTGAACCCAGGAGGTAGAGGTTGCAGTGAACTGAGATTGCACCTCTGCACTCCAGCCTGGGTGACACAGCAAGATTCTGTCTCAAAAATAAAAATAAATAAAATAAAATTCTATTTAAAAAAATAACTTAAAAAACTAACTTTAACATCAAAGATGCACTAACGAAAACATGAAATTTAGTTTTCTCTTTTGAAAAAGATTTTTATGTAATACTAAAACATAATAAAAGGTGTTTATCCATTTGGGTAAATGGCAGGGAAAAAAGGGGAGGAGAGAAGAGAGAGAGATTCGGTTGGCCTCATGCTATCTTCTTTGGGTATCATTGTTTGGAAAGTTAAGTCCTCTATCAGAGTAAAGGTTTTTCTGCTTAAAAAATTTTTGGGCTGGGTGCAGTGGCTCAGGCCTGTAATCCCAGAACTTTGGGAGGCCAAGCCAAGCAGGTCAGGAGGTCAGAAGTTCCAGACCAACCTGATCAACATGGTGAAACACTGTTTCTACTAAAAATACAAAAACCAGCTGGGTGTGGTGGCACAAACCTGTAATCTCAGCTACTCTGGAGGCTGAGGCAGGAGAATCACTTGAACCTGGGAGGTGGAGGTTGCAGTGAGCCAAGATCATGCCACTGTACTCCAGCCTGGGTGACAGAGTGAGACTCTGTCTCAAAAAAAAAAAAATTGTTTTTTGGAGTTATCGTTTGGCCAAATGAAAGAGTCACAGTGATTTGGGAATGGTGGTACATGCCTATAGTCCCAGCTACACAGTACACTAAGGTGGGAACATGCCCTGAGCACAGGAGATTGAGGCTGCAGTGAACTGTAATAGCACCACTGCACACTGGCCTGGGTGACAGAGCAATACCCTGATTCAAAAAAAAAAAAGAGCATTCCCTCTGTTGTGGAAGAGTTCATTTCCTGTTGGCTGCAGGACTCAGGGCACTGGTTTCTTGCTAGCTGCTGGCTGGGGGGTTCCTGGGGCTGCCTTTTTTTCCTTGCTACATAGATGTTTGCTTCTTCAAGAGCATGTCTCTGGGAACCTTATCACGGGAGTGGCATCCCATCTCCTCTGCCATATTCTCCTTGTTAGAAGCAAAACATAGGACCTACCCACAATTAAGAGGCCAGGATCCCACAAAAGGACAAGGATCATGAAGACCCCTGCCCAACCTGCCAAGCCTGTTCCATATACCTTGGGGTTGGGAGAAATGAGATAAGAAATAGTTAAAAAGCCAGCAGCATGGGAAATTTTGCTCCTTCACAAGTTGGCCCACATTCACTCACCAATTCTCAGTCATCTGTTTAGACCTTTCATCTCAACAACCTGGAGCACTCACTGTTTCCCTAGAGCTTTAGGTGAAGACCATGAAACAAGATCAAGAGAAAGACTGGTTTAAGTATCACTTAGTTATCTTCCTCCACTTGCAATTTTCAGCCCCAAAATAACTTTGAAGGAAAAAAATCCCAGATTATTTACATATGCTCTCCATTTTTAACTACTGTTCTGTTTAAAACATTTAATATCCTCAGAAGCCTCATTAGAGTCGATTTAATTCATAGCAAGATATTGTATGTATTTTTGCAGCTATTAATGTCTGCTTAGGGAACTTTTGTTTTCACCTGAACTTTTAGAAGAAAGTTAAGCAAAATCAGTGTGCCTGGCTGACTTGTCACTGGTGGTGCTAGGTTCTTAATAATAAAATGGAGCTAAATGGACTTCCTCACATCAGCCAATAGGCTGGAAGACGAAACCAGAGACTTCCTTGAGGAGGTCTTTCCTTCTACGTGGCCTAATTGCGACCCAAACTCCTCATGTGAGAAGAGAGCTTTAGACAATTTTCACTGGTATCTCCTTGCAGGCATCAAGAGAGCCGCTCGGAAACCCATAAACTTGTCTAAGATGACTGAAGTTGTCCAGGGGCCTGAAGAGTCACCAGGAGCATTTTAGAACAACTCCAGGATGTTGAATGCTTGCATCCTGCAGTGAGGGAAGAGAGAGACCCTCTCATATTGTTTTATATTGCTTTATACTAGCACCTGTTTTAAGAAAAAAGCAAGGAAGTGAAATCAAAGGCAGCAGCCTGGTGCCAGGCACCAGACCCAAAACCAGGCCTGGGCCTGCCTGGCCTAAACCTAGTTATTAAAAATCAACTCATGACTTAGAACCCAATGTTATCCATAGATTCCAGACATTGTATAAAAGAACATTGTTAAACTCCCTGCTGTGTTCTGTTTCACTCTGACCACGAGTGCATGCAGCCCCATCGTGTATCCCCCAGATTGCTCAATGAATCACGACCCTTTCATGTGAAATCTTTAGTGTTGTGAGCCCTTAGAAGAGACAGAAATTGTGCACTTGAAGAGCTCAAATTTTAAGACAGTAGCTTGCTGATGCTCCCAGCTGAATAAAGCCCTTCCTTCTACAACTCCGTGTCTGAGAGGTTTTGTCTGTAGCTTCTCCTGCTACAGCAGTATCAGAGTTTACTGTTAGATCAGCCTCTTTTGACTTTCTCTTCCATAAGGTGTTTAAATCTAGCTACTTTACTCCCTGATCCAAACTTCACTACACCTGTCCATGACTGCCAGGAACTGTTAGAAACTAGGGAAACTGGCTGACCTGATCTCCAAGAAGTGTCCCTAAAGAAGGCAGATGCCAGCATGTTTATAAATGGTAGCTGCTTCCTCGAACAGGGAGTACGAAAGGCTTGTTCAGCCGTTACTACAGAGAGATAGTCTGTAAGCCCAAGCTCTACCAGCTGGCACCTCAGCTCAGAGAGCTGAGTCGGTTGCCCTCACACAGGCTCTCTGATGAAGTAAAGACAAATGTATTAACATTTACACTAACAGTAGATATGCATTCGTTACTGTGCATTCGTTACTGAGCCTTCTATCAAGAGCATAGGCTACTCACCTCAGCAGGAAAGACTACCAAAAACAAAGAAGAAATTCTAGCCCTTCTTAAAGTTGTATGGCTCTGTCAGCAGGTGGCTGTAATTCACTGCAAAGGACATCAAAGAGAAGACACCGCCATTGCCCGTGGTAACCAGACAGCAGATTCTGCAGCATGTGAGGCAGTATGACTTCCAGTCATGCCTCTAACCTTATTGCCTGCCATATCTTTTCCACAGCCTGACTTACCGATCCCCTATACACAGCAGAAGAAATAAAACTGGCTTCAGATCTCCAGGCCAATAAAAATCAGAAAGGTTGGTGGATATTTCCTGACTCCAGAATCTTCATACCACAAGCTCGCCGGGAAACTTTAATCATTCATCTGCATTCTACCACCCATTTAGGAGGAGCAAAACTAGCCCAGCTCCTAAGGAGCCGTTTCAAGATCCCTCACCTTGAGAACGTAGCAGATCAAGCAGCTCTCTGGTGTATGGTGTGCACTCAGGCAAAGCCCTAAACCCAGCTCAGGCCACAGCCTCTGAGGAAACTCACCAGGAGAAAGGTAGGAAATTGACTTTAGAGAGATAAAACCATACCAGGCTAGGTACAAATACCTTCTGGTACTAGTAGACACTTTCTCCAGATAGACTGAGGCATTTGCTACCAAAAATGAGACTGCCACCACAATAGTTAGGTATTTACTCAATGAAATCATCCCTCGATATAGGCTGCCTGCTGCCATAAGTTCCAATAATAAACTGACCTTCACCTTGTCCATAGCTCAGTCAGTCAGTAAAGCATCAAACATTCAATAGAAGCTCTATTGTGCCTATTGACCCCAGAGCTCTGGACAGGTAGAACGCATGAATCACACCCTAAAAAGTACTCTTACAAAATTAATCTTAGAGACCAGTGAGAATTAGGTAAGACTCCTTCCTTTAGACCTTCTTAGAGTAAAATGCACTCCTTACCAGGCTGGGTTTTTACCTTTTGAAATCATGTATGGGAAGGCACCGCCTATCTTGCCTAAGCTAAGGGACACTCATTTAGCAGAAATCTCACAAGCTAATTTATTACAGTACCTACAGTCTCTCCAAAAAAGATGTGAGATATCATCCAGCCACTTGTCTGGGGAGCTCATTCCAATCCAGGTCCTGACAGGATGGGGCCCTGCCACTCATTCCAGCTGGGTGACCTGGTGTTTGTTACAAAGTTCCAGAAAGAAGGATACACTCCTGCTTGGAAAAGACCTCATACTGTCATCCTCACCACACCTATGGGTCTGAAGGTGGATTCCAGCTTGGATTCATCACTCCCATATCAAAAAAGCCAGCAAAGGACAGCAGGAAACATAAGTTCCCAAGCCTAGGCCAAGCCCCTAAAATTGTGTCTAAGTCAAGTGAAGCCATTAGATTAATTCTTTTTATTTACCTCTCTTGTCTGTTTCCACCTGTTATGTCCTCTGCGCCTTCCTGTTCTTTTCTCCTCACTTCTTTCACAAGACGTGTATTTGCAAACCCTACGTGGAAGGCAGGAACCTCCAAGGAAGTTTCTTTTGCAGTTGATTTATGTGCTTTGTTTCCAGAACCTACCCATACCCACAAAGACCAATGCAACCTGCTGGTCATAGGAGCAGGAAACTTCAACCTTGCAGCAGGATTTAGACACTCCAGGAGCCAGACTGGATGTGGGAGCTCCAAAGGTGCAGAAAAAGGACCCCAAAATGTTGACTTTTACCTCTGTCCTGGAAATCACCCTGACTCTAGTTGTCGAGATACTTACCAGTTTTTCTGCCCTGACTAGACATGGGTAACTTTAGCCACTTATCCTGGGGGATTAACCTGATCTTCAACTCTTTCCATAGCTTGTGCTTCCTGTCCTAGACTGTGTACTACAAAAAATTGTAATCCTCTTACTATAATCGTTCACAACCCTAATTCAGCTCAATGGTACTATGGCATGTCATGAGGATTAAGGCTTTATATCCTGGGATTTGATGTTGGAACTATGTTCACCATCCAAAAAAAAATCTTAATCTCATGGAGGCCTCCTAAGCCAATTAAGCCTTTAACTGATCTAGGCAACCCTATGTTCTAAAAACACCCAGACAAAAGCGATTTAACTCTTCTGCCACCATTCCTAGTTCCTAAACCCCAGCTGCAACGACATCTCCAACCCAGCCTGATGTCCATACTGGGGGGGTACTTCACCTCCTTAATCTCACCCAGCCTAAACTAGCTCAAGATTGTTGGCTATGCCTGAAGGACAAGCCCCCTTATTATGTGGGCTTAGGAGTAGAAGCCATGCTTAAAAGTGTTCCACTATCTTGTCATGCATGACCCCATGCCCTTATGCTAGGAGATGTGTCATGTCTAGGAATGCTTCTTGTCTAATTAGCACTGGATATAACTTATCTGGTTCTCCCTTTCAGGCTACTTGTAATCAATCCCTGCTTACTTCCTTAAGTACTTCAGTCTCTTATCGGGCACCTAACAATACCTAGTTAGCCTGCACTTCAAGTTTCACTCGCTGCATCAATGGAACTGAACTAGGACATCTCCTGTGCACGTTAATTCCTGTACTTCCTCAGGTATTGTGTACAGTGGACCAGAAGGACAACTCCTCATCACTCCCACTGAATTGCATCCCAGGTTTCACTAAGCCGCCCTGCTCCTAGCTCCCCTCCTGGCCAGCCTTAGCATAGCTGGATCAGCAGCCATCAGCACAGCTGCCCTAGTTCAAGGAGAAACTAGACTAATGTCTCTGTCTCAACAGGTAGATGCTGATTTAAGCAACCTCCATCCAGCCATAGATATACTGCATACCCAAATAGAGTCTCTGGCTGAAGTAGTTCTTCCTCTCCCAAGAAGGTTTATGCACAGCCCTAGGAGAGAGTTGTTGCTTCTCTGCCAATCAGTCTGGAGTCATAAAAGATACTCTTCAAAATATTCGAGAAAATCTAGATAGACACCAACAAAAGCGAGAAAATAACATCCCCTGGTATCAAAGCATGTTTAACTGGAATCCATGGCTAACTACTCTAGTCACAGGTAGCTGGACCCCTTCTCCTCCTGCTGTTAGGCTTAATCTTCAAGCTGTATATATTAAACTGGTTTCTTAATTTTGTAAAAACAGTGCATAGCTTCTGTCAAGCTTATGTATCTTAAAACCCAATATGACTCCCTTGTTATAACTGAGGAATCAACAATTTTATTCCACAAAAACACAAGTGAGGAATGTAATACCTAATCTTGTTTTTAACATGAATAGACTCTCCATTAGCTATATAACCTTGTTTTAATATGAATAGACTCTCCCTTAGCTGAGAAAACCTGATGGACTCCATTTAGCTCCTTCATTTGCAAGACATCAAGGACTCCTTACCCACCCCCTTCCTCAAGGAGTTAACTTGTGTAAGCTGACTCTTAGCATATCAAAGAGTCCAATTAACTGATAAGGTACTGTGGCAAGCAATGTCCCTAGTTCCCAGGAATTCACTCGAGAGATAGCACCATAAAGTCCCTGTGTTTCTGTCCAGCAGAACCCTCACACCTATCACTTTGTGATGAATTTAAAGCCCCTGAGGGCTGTGTTCTGTTCCATTGGTCTATATCTCTGTTTTGGTACCAGTACCATGCTGTTTTGGTTACTCTAGCCTTGTAGCATAGTTTGAAGTCAGGTAGCATGATGCTTCCGGCTTGGTTCTTTTGGCTTAGGATTGTCTTGGCAATGCAGCCTCTTTTTTGGTTCCATATGAACTTTAAAGTAGTTTTTTCCAATTCTGTGAAGAAAGTCATTGGTAGCTTGATGGGGATGGCATTGAATCTATAAATTACCTTGGGCAGTATGGGCATTTTCACGATATTGATTCTTCCTACCCATGAGCATGGAATGTTCTTCCATTTGTTTGTATCCTGTTTTATTTCATTGAGCAGTGGTTTGTAGTTCTCCTTGAAGAGGTCCTTCGCATTCCTTCTAAGTTGCATTCCTAGGTATTTTATTCTCTTTGTAGCCACTGTGAATGGGAGTTCACTCATGATTTGGCTGTTTGTCTGTTATTGGTGTATAGGAATGCTTGTGATTTTTGCACATTGATTTTGTATCCTGAGACTTTGCTGAAGTTGTTGGTCAGTTTACAGAGTTATTAGGCTGAGATGATGGTGTTTTCTGTATATAGAATTGTGTCATCTGGAAACAGGTAAGACACACTGATTATTTCTGCATTGGTATTACAGACCAAAATGCAAACTAGCCCAAGGCTGGTGCAATAGACACTGCAACTGAATATGAAATGAGTGACTAAAAGTTGAAAAGAACCATTAACTAGACCCACCAGCTGGAATATTCTGTTTTGCGCTCGTCCTTTTCTTCCCCACCCCACCATACCTTTGTCTTCCATGAGTTATTTCTGCTGCATGTTACTGTATTTTTTTCAACCAGCTTTGGCAGAAAGATGTAGTATTTCAAGTGCTTAATATAAGATTATTCATGTTTTCTTCTTGGTGTTTTCTAATTCCATCCTTCAGTGTTAGACAAAGACATACAAAGTGGTCTGGGCATGGTAGCTCACAGCTTTCATCTCAGCACTTCAAGAGGCCAAGGTGGGAGGATTGCTTAAGCCCTTGAGTTCAAGATCAGCCTGAGCAACATAGTGAGAACCACATCTCTACAAAAAATTTAAAAATTAGCAGGGCATTGTGGCACATGCCTGTAGTTCCAGCTACTCAGGAACCTGAGGTGAGAGGATTGAAGTAGGTGGGGAGGAGCAGGGAGTCATTATAGATGCCAGAGCAACCCAAGAGAAAAAGGACACATTATAGTTAAAGCTGGGTAAAGGCAGAGATGATTCAAAGAATGCTGGAAGAGTCCAGTTGTGGGGAAAGAGGTCCCAAGCAGGGGCAGTGGGGCTGGAAGAAAAGGGTAGATGAATATGGGTGGCAAAGGCAAAAGGGGCTGGATGGGAAGCTTGTGGGGATTTGTTGGGTGTTGGTGCAGAGGAGAAGTAGTCACAGAAAGTTTCAAGGCTAAAGTCTTGGAAACTGAGAAAAGGTTGTCTATCTGACAAAAGTTGGAAATTCAGTAATGGGGACAGAATTTCCTTGTTGGGTCAAGTGTATGATCTGGGCCAGATAATCACTGAGAGTCCACAGATACAGACCAAAGCCCCTAAGGCAGTCTCACTCCTTCCACAGAGGGAAAGAAGAGAGCAACATGATGCACAGAAGAATGATGGTCTGCTGCTAGGCCTGACACAGGACACCTGTCACATTTGTTTATGGAACACTTAGCTCTTTGGGGCTCCCAGGGACTAAAGTGTGTGCCTCAAAACATACCCTATAGGCTGCCTATTTCTATAAATCAACTAAATAATGCATTAGCTTCAGTCAGATTACTCTCAACAGTGGAAATGGTGACCTACTTCTAGTGACCCACCTGTGTGCAGAGCTGCAAGTCTTCTCAGTAAGAACACAGCCTCTCAAGTGTCCTTGATGGCCATCAAACTCCGGACCTCAACTGACTCCCCTGCCTCGGCTTCCCAAAGTTCTGGGATTACAAGCATGAGCCACCACATTGGCCTTTTTTTTTTTTTGGTCGGTTTTTTTTTTTTTTTTTTTTTAGAGACAGGGTCTCCCTGTGTTACTCAGGCAGGAGTGCAATGTCATGATCATAACTCACAGCAGCCTTCACTCTTGGGGCTCAAGCAATCCTCTTTCACCTCAGCCATCCAAGTAGCTGGGAGTACAGGCACATGCCACCATGCGTGGCTAATATTTTTTCATTTGTTTCTTTTTTCTTTCTGAGACAGAGTCTCACTCTGTTACCAAGGCTGCAGTGCAGTGGCATGATCTTGGCTCACTACAACCTCCACCTCCTGGGTTCAAGCGATTCTCCCACCTCAGCCTCCTGAGTAGCTGGGATTATAGGCATGCACCACCAAGCCCACCTAATTTTTGTATTTTTAGTAGAGACAGGGTTTCTCCATGTTGGTTAGACTGGTCTTGAGCTCCCAACCTCAGGTGATCTGCCCACCTCGGCCTCCCAAAGTGCTGGGATTATAGGCATCAGCCACCGTGCCCAGCCATATTTTTCATTTTTTAAGCAATGCAGTCTCTCTACGTTGACCACATGATCACTCAGGTGATCCTCCTGCCTCAGCCTCCCAAAGTGCTGGGATTGCAGGCATGAGCCATGGCACCTGGCCATGGAGCACAGTTTTGCTGACATCTTGATATTACCCAATGTGTTTTTCTTTTCAGAAAAACAGAACCCATATGATACATATAAAGGCATTCAGTTTTAAGGTATTGGCTCATGAGATTATGGAGGCTGAGAAGCCTATGATCTGCTGTCTGCAAGCTGCAAGACTAGTGGAATAGTTCAAAAGCCTGAGAGATAAAGAGCCAATAGTGTAGACTCCAATTTAGGTCTGAAGGCCTGAGCACCTCGAGCCCAGAGGACACTTCAATGTCCCAGCTCAAGCTGTCAGTCAGAAGAAGGGCAAATACAGCTATCCTCTCTCTATGTGCTCTGTTCCGGCCCTCAGTGGGTTGGGAGGGTGCCCACAACACCAGGGAGAATGATCTACTTTGCCCAGTTCAGCGATTCAAATGCTAAATGTCATCTGGAAACACCCTGAAAGAGACATCCAGAAAAAATGTTTAAGCAGTTATGTGAACATCCTGAGGTCCAGCCAAGTTGACACGTAGAATTAACCATCATCCCCAGTGACACTCTTTCAGGATTTTGGACCTCCAGAACTATCAGATAATACATGTGAACTGTTTAAACCACTAAGTTTGTGGTAATATATTACAGCAGTGACAGGAAGCTAATGCAGCCCCTAACCCAAAAATCAACTTTTCTCCTTTGTAAAATGATCATGATATTTCCCCAACCACCTCATACGTTACTATGACAATCAGTGACAGAATGTTTGAATATGTTTTGAAACTATAAAAGCCTTGCCAGAACAAAATCTGCTGCCCCTTTTGATCTAGTACTTTTCCTATCCACTCAGTTCTTCCTTTGCTGACTAGTTTCTGCTCCTCTCAGCGTACATTTGATTTGGGCAAGTCTTTCCAATCACCTTCACCTTGTCTGAATGGGTGGCTGGGCCTGAGGCACTGGCCATTTCTGCTTTTTAGAATCCATCATCATCATCAAATACAGTAAGCTTTATTTAATATTTTGGTATTTTGTTCACAATGGAATATCTGCATAATTTTTGCCTTTTAAAATATGGCATTAAAGGACCATCCAAGCAACAGGAAGAGAGCTTCCTGTCCAGTGAGGCTTGAGCGACTGAAACAGTGGCCCAGAATGCATTGCGATGGCGGTAGGCATGTGGGAGGCGGAACCAGGGCCGGAAGTAGAACCGTGTGGCCACTGCCGCAGCTTTTGCAGCTGGGTACTGAGTCCACCTAATGTAAAATCAGCATGGGCCAGGTGCAGTGGCTTACGTCTGTAATCCCAGCGCTTTGGGAGGCCGAGGCGGGCGGATCACCTGAGGTCTGGAGTTCGAGACCAGCCTGACCAACATGGAGAAAGCCGGTCTCTACTAAAAAAAAAAAAATACAAAATTAGCTGGGCGTGGTGGCTCATGCCTGTAATCCCAGCTACTCGGGAGGCGCAGGCAGGAGAATTGCTTCAACTCAGGAGGTGGAGGCTGCCGTGAGCTGAGATTGTGCCATTGCACTCCAGCCTGGGCAACAAGAATGAAACTCCGTCTCAAAAAAAAGGAAAAAAAAATCAGCTTGATTCCACTTGGCACGGTGGCTCACACCTGTAATCTCAGCCATTTGGGAGGCCAAGGCGGGCAGATCACCTGGTCAGGAGTTCAAGATCAGCCTGACCAATAAGCTGAAACTCCATCTCTACTAAAATACAAAAAATTAGCTGGGCATGATGGTGTTCACCTGTTATCCCAGCTACTTGGGAGGCTGAGGCAGGAGAATTGCTTGAACCCAGGTGTTGGGATTCTCTCAGGATGGTGGCAGAAATATTAAAGGGAAGTATTAGGGAAATCACTCAGGATGGTGGCAGAAATATTAAAGGGAAATACTAGGGAAGGTTATAGAGAATAGTCACGACCTTTTTGGAAGGCTGAAAGGTTATATAGCTTGTAATAATTGAACAGGCTGAAGGTGGCCATTTCTTACCTTAGAGCATTAGGTCATAGGGTAAATACTAGGGTCAATAGAGGTTTCCACAGTTAAGTCTGTTTACCCTACCTCCATTAACTAACCATTGAGCCAGATGGCCCTCTGTGGGCAGGCGGGCAAGGAGGTCGACCAGGAAAATTGTCTGTAATGGTATTTACTTTAGACCTCGGTATCTGAGGTTAAACATTCGTAGAATACTCTCTTAACCATGTTAATTATCCACAGGTGTGTTTACTCAAAGCTTCTGTTGTTAATTCTGTACTAAATAAATGCCTAGAGTGCAAACTGCTGAGGGCTATGGCTGCCATTCTTTACAGGACTCTCCTTGGAGTCTGTGAGAGGCCTCGGACCCTCAGCTGGATTGGCAAAGCAGAGTATCTATGTGTCAGTGTACTTTATTCTTCCATCGCTGGGTCAGGGGTCTGTAAGGGACAGATTCCCCACAGCTAGTGCCCTGGTGAAAGGAGTGCTGCCTGACTGGGAGGCAGAGGTTGCAGTGAGCTGAGATTGTGCCACTGCACTCCAGCCTGGGCCAGAGAGCAAGACTCCCTTTCAGAAAAAAAAAAAAAAAAAGAAAAAGAATCAGCATGATTCTTCAGAGGATCTTCAGGTTCTCCTCTGTCACTTGGTCAGCAGGCTCAGTCCACTTGCGAAGGAACGTTGGTGTTACTGCGGTGGCTTTTTTTTTTTTTTTTTGAGACAGAGTTGTGCTCTGTCACCCAGGCTGGAGTGCAGTGGTGTGATCTTGGCTCACTGCAAGCTCCGCCTCCCAGGTTCATGCCATTCTCCTGCCTCAGCCTCCCAAGCAGCTGGGACTACAGGTGTCCCCCACCATGCCTGGCTAATTTTTTGTATTTTTAGTAGAGACAGGGTTTCACCATGTTAGCCAGGATGGTCTTGATCTCCTGACCTCATGATCTGCCCACCTCGGCCTCCCAAAGTGCTGGGATTACAGGCGTGAGCCACTGCAGTGGCATTTAATAAGAACTTGATCCTCTACAGAAACTCTTTATGGACAAGATTAGAGAATACAAATCTAAGCGACAGACATCTGGAGGACCTGTTGATACCAGTCCACAGTATCAGCAAGTGCTGGAGAGGGAGCTTTTAAGCTTGAGCAAATATATGATAAAGTAGACATGAATAGGTTCCCCACTTCAAATTTGAAGATCCCAAATTTGAAGTCATTGAAAAACCCCAGGCCTGAAGAGATAAAGTAAAATTAATCTGGTACTTTGTCATGAGTTACTTGTACAACTAGTTAGAAGTTTCAGAATAAACATACATTTCATAACTGTCAAAAATAAATAAATAAAATATGGCATTATAATATTATATATCTTGATGACTGCATTTTTGGCACTCCCTTAAACTTGTTTCACCCTAGTGTCCCACCTTATATTTACCTGCCAAAGTTAAGGACACATGCCTGGGAGATTGGTTGTATTAAGGTTCTCTACACAGATAGAACTAATGGAATATATATGCATATAAAAGGGAGTTTATTAAGTATTAACTCACATGATCACAAGGTCCCACAATAGGCCCTTTGCAGGCTGAGGAGCAAGGATGGCCAGTCCGAGTTCCAAAACTGAAGAACTTGGACTTCCATGTTTGAGGGCAGAAACATCCAGCATGGGAAAAAGATGTAGTCTCGGAGGCTAGGCCAGTCTCTCCTTTCTGCCTGCCTATATTATAGTTGCACTGGCTGCTGATTACTAGTGCCTTTCCCAGTCCACTGACTCAATGTTAATCTCCTTTGGCAACATCCTCAAAGACACACCCAGGATCAATAATTTGTATCCTTCAATCCAGTCAAGTTGACACTCAGTATTAACCATCACAAGTCCACACCTTGTCAACGTGAGCCCATACACATCTCCTGAGATTATGTTAGGTCATAATTATGGCTAACATAATACAATTATCCTTCGTACGACTGGAAATGCACCAATCCCCAACCCAAATGCTATTACATAAGGTTAATATACTTAAATGGTCATATGAAGTCAATATATCTTATGTCACATGATAAAGGAGAAAGAAAATAAAATGAAGATATTTTCTTAGTACAGGTGTATACATGCACCAACATGTTTTTAACAAAAGAAGGAGGAAATGCTGATGACAATTACTGTGGTTGTTTCTGCAGCTGGTCACATGGTTGTAGCTGGTATTGATGACTACCTTCTACTTCCCATTCTGTATTTCCTTTGCCTTCAGCAAGCACTTCAGCAGGTTGTGGGTTTTTTCCTGGTGGAGTGACCCAAACCTTCATTCCTGAAGGGTCTGGGTCATCTGCAGTCCTGCCTGGATTGGGCTGTTGTAGTTTTCCATTGACCTTAATCATAGGGCATGGTTATATGAAGAGATTAATGGATCTCCTGTATTCCTTTTTTTTTTTAAACAGAGTCTCAATCTGTTGCCCAGGCTGGAGTGCAGTGGCCTGATCTTGGCTCATTTCAACCTCCGCCTCCCGGGTACAAGCGATTCTCCTTCCTCAACTTTCCTAGAACCTGGGATTACAGTCTCATGCCACTGTGCCCAGCTAATTTTTTTTTTTTTTGAGATGAATTCTTGCTCTTGTCCCCCAGGCTGGAGTGCAAATGATGTGATCTTGGCTCACTGCAACCTCTGCCTCCTGGGTTCAAGTGATTCTCCTGCCTCAGCCTCCTGAACAGCTGGGATTACAAGTGTCTGCCTCCATGCCTGGCCAATTTTTGTATTTTTAGTAGAGATGGGGTTTCACCATGTTGGTCAGGCTGGTCTTGAACTCCTGTTCTCAGGTGATCCGCCTGCCTTAGCCTCCTAAAGTGCTAGGATTACAGGCATGAGCCACTGTGTCTGGCTGCGTGCCCAGATAACTTTTGTATTTTTAGTGGAGACAGAGTTTTGCCATGTTAGCCAGGCTGATCTTAAACTCCTGACCTCAGGTGGATCTCCAGTATTCCATACATACCCTTCCTTACCTCTGTCATGAAATAGTAGACTGATTTCATCTTGATAATCTGGGTCAGTCAACCCCAGCCACCACTGTAACTCCCTTTTTAGCCTATTGACTTAAAGGGAGGAGGAGCCCAAAGTGTCCAGGTGGTAATCTTAACTTCCAGTTTAGTGGAATCATTGTTGTGTCTACTGGTGGCAGCATTCCGCCCTCTGGAACTAAAACCTCTAGGCCAGCAGAACATAATATTGTGGGAATAGGAAGCAAACATTTTGGTAGTGGGTCACCAGGGGTGATGATGAGTGGTGCCACCTCCACTTTCATCCCTTGATTCCTGGACCCATGAATCCTGGCTATGGGAGAAACAGTACCATATATTTGATGCTGATTCAGAGCATACATGGCCTTCTGGAGAACTTTGCCCCAGGCCTGCAAAGTATTGTCACCTAGTTGGCATTGTAATTGTGGCTTCAAAAGGCCATTCCACTGTTCTATCAATCCAGCTGCTTCAGGATGATGGGGAACATGGTAAGACCAATGAATTCTGTGAGCATGAGCTCACTGCCACACTTCTTTAGCCATAAAGTGAGTCAGAGGCAATACTGTGTGGAATACCATGACAGTGGATAAGGCATTCCGTGAGTCCACAGATGGTAGTCTTGGCAGAAGCATTGCATGCAGGATGGGCAAACCCATATCTGGAGTAGGTGTCTATTCCAGTGAGGACAAATCTCTGCTCTTTTCATGACGGAAGTGGTCCAATATAATCCAACTCCTACCAGTAGTTGGCTGATCACCTTGAGAAAGGAATGGTTCCATATTAAGGGCTCAGTGATGGTCTCTGCTGCTGGCAAATTGGGCACTCAGCAGTGGTCATAGCCAGGTCAGCCTTGGTAAGTGGAAGTCCATGTTGCTGAGCCCCTGCATAACCTCCATACCTGCCACCATGGTCACTTTGTTCATGGGCCCACTTGGCGATGACAGAGGTGGTTAGGGAAAGAGGATGAGTGGTGTCCACAGAACAGGTCATTCCATCCCATTGATTATTGAAATCCTCCTCTGTTGAGGTTACACATTGGTGGGCACTCACATAGGATACAAATATCTTCACAGTTTTTGACCACTCAGAAAGTTCCATCCACATACTTCTTCCCCAAATTTGTTTTTCACCCATTTCCCAATGATGCTTCTTCCAAGTCTCTGACCATCCAGCCAAACCATTGGCTACAGCTCATGAATCAGTATAGAACCTCACATCTGGCCATTTCTCCTTTAATGCAGAGTGCACAACCAGGTGCACTGCTCAAAGTTCTGCCCACTGGGAAGACTTTCCTTTGCCACTATCCTTTAGGGATATCCTAGAAAGGGGCTGTAGTGCTGCAGCTGTCCACTTCTGGGTGTTGCCTGTATATCGTGCAGAATCTTCTGTAAACCAGGCCATACTCTTCTTTTCCTCTGTCAACTGATCTTAGGGAATGCCCCATAAGGATATCATTGCAGGACGGGGGAGAGAAGACAGGGTGGCAGGGGTGGAGACCTTGGGTGTTTAAGCTACTTCCTCATGTAACTTACTTGTGCTCTCACGACCTACTACAGCCCAATCACATATATACCACCTCCATTTGATGATGGAATGCTGCTGTCCATGACCCACTTTATGGCTAGATGGCTCAGAAAGCACCCAGTTCATGATAGGCAGTTCAGGTTGCATGGTGACTTGATGACCCATAGTTGAATGTTCAGTTTCCCCCAAAGCCCAGTAATAAGCCAAGAGCTATCGCTCAAAAGGACAGTAGTTACCCACAGAAGATGGCAGGGTCTTGCTCCAAAATCCTAGAGGCCTCTGCTGTGATTCACCTATGGAAGCCTGCAAAGCCTCCAAACAGCATCTCTATCTGCCACTGAAACCTTAATCACCATTGGATCTGCTGGGTCATATGACCCAAATGGCAGCACAGCTTGCACAGCAGCCTGGACCTGTTGCAGAGCCTTCTCCATTTGTGGACCCCATTCAAAACTGGCAGCCTTTTAGGTCACTTGATTAATGGGCTGGAGTAACACACCCAAATGAGGAATGTGTTGCCTCCAAAATCCAATAGGTCCACTACTCATTGTACCTCTTTCTTGGTTGTAGGAGGGGCCAAATACAGCAACTTATCCTTCACCGTAAAAAGAATATCTTGACAAGTCTCACACCACTGGACCCCTAGGAATCTTACGGAGGTAGAAAGTCCCTGAATTTTAGTAAGATTTCTTTCCCAGCCTCTGGCACACAAATATCTCACCAATAAGTCCAATGCATTTGCTATTCTTTCTCCCTTTCTTTCTCTTTCTTTTTCTTTCTTTCTTTCTCTTTCTTTCTTTCTTTCTTTCTTTCTCTTTCTTTCTTTCCTTCCTTCCTTCTTTTCTATTTTCCTTCCTTCCTTCCTTCCTTCCTTCTTTCTTTCTTCCTCTTTCCTTCTTTCTTCCTGTCTTCCTTTCTTTCTTTCCTTCTTTCTTTTTTGAGACTGAGTCTTGCTCTGTTGCCCCAGCTGGAGTGCAGTGGTGTGATCTCAGCTCACTACAAGCTCCGCCTCCCAGGTTCATGCCATTCTCCTGCCTCAGCCTCCCGTGTAGCTGGGACTACAGGCGCCTGCCAACATGCTGGGTTAATTTTTTGTATTTTTAGCAGAGACGGGGTTTCACCGCGTTAGTCAGAATGGTCTTGATCTCCTGACCTCGTGATCTGCCCGTCTCGGCCTCCCAAAGTGCTGGGATTACAGGTGTGAGCCACCGCGCCCGGCCTATATTCATGTTTATATGCGATATGGTTTGGCACCCAAATGTCATCTTGAATTGGAACTCCCACAATTCCCATGTGTTGTGGAAGGAATCTATTGGGAGGTGACTTAATTATAGGGGCAGGTCTTTCCTGTGCTGTTCTAAGGAGAGTGAATGAGTTTCACAAGATCTGATGGTTTTCAAAAATGGGAGTTTCCCTATACAAGCTCTCTCTCTTTGCCTACTGCCATTCATGTAAGAGATGAGTTGCTTCTCCTTATCTTCCACTGTGACTATTAGGCTTCCCCAGCCTCATGGAACTGTAAGAGAAATTAAACCTCTTTCTTTTGTAAATTGCCCAGTCTTGGGTATGTCTTTATCAGCAGTGTGAAAATGGACTAATACAATGTGCATATATGTAGAATAATATATATACACACTATGTACATACCATATATATGTATGTATACATACATGTATATATACACAGAGATGCACACACATACATATATACACATACATATACATACAATTATATATGCACATACATACACATACATATGTATATACACATACTTATATACATAATACATACACACACACAGATAGTTAAAAAATTAGGACCTAACTATTGCCTAGGCAGGCGGGCAGTGGTGTTTATCACAGCCCTCTGCAGCCTCAAACTCCTGGGCTCAAGCAGTCCTACCTAAGCATCTTCCCAAAGCGCTGGGATTATGGAGTGAGACACCATGCTGACCTACACATTTTAAGTACAAGCCTTCATCTGATATGGATTTTGCAAATATTTGCTTGCACTCTGTGATGTGTTTTTTTCACTGTATTAAATGTCTTTTGTACACTTCTAAAGTTCTACTGATGTCTAACATCGTTTCTTTTTTTTTTTTGTCCGAGATGGAGTCTTGCTCTGTCACTTAGGCTGGAGTGCAGTGGCACCATATTGGCTCAGTGCAACCTCCGCCTCCAGGGTTTAAGCAATTTTAATGCCTCAGCCTCCCCAGTAGCTGCGATTACAGGCATGCACCACCACGCCTGCTAATTTAATTTTTGTGTTTTTAGTAGAGATGGGGTTTCACCATGTTGGCTCATCTTGAACTCCTGAGCCTCATGCTCTCAAAGCAGTGGGTGGCTCACATCGCTTATTTTTTCTTTGATGCATCATGCTTTTGCTACTCTATCTAATAAGTCATCACAGGCTGCATGTGGTGCCTCACATCTGTAACACTACCAGTTTGGGAGGCTGAGGTGGGCGGATCAGTTAGGGTCAGGAGTTCAAAACCAGCACGGCCAACATGTTGAAACCCCATTTCTACTAAAAATAGAAAACAAAACAAACAAACAAAAATAATTAGCTGGCTGTGGTGGCAGGTGCCTGTAATCCCAGCTACTTGGGAGACTAAGGCAGAATTGCTTGAATCGGCAGAAGCTGCAGTTAGCCAAGATGGCACCACTGCACTCCAGACTGGGCAACAAAGTGAGAGACTCTGTCTCCAAAAAAAAAAAAGTAATTGCCGAACCCAAGGTTGTCTAGGTTTTCTCCTATGTTATCTTCTGGGAGTTTTTATAGTTTTGTCTTTTACATTTAGGGCTATTGTCTATTTTATTTTTTGTGAAAGGTATAAAGTCTATGTCTAGAGTTTTGTTTTTTGTTTTTTTTTTTTGCATATGATGTCCTGTTGTTCCAGCACCGTGAGTTAAAAAGAATGAACTGCCTTTGCTCCTTGCTCAAAGATTAGTTGAGGTGGGGTGCTATGGCTCAAGCCTCTAATCACAGCAATTTGGGAATGTGAGGCAGACAGTTTGACACAGTCTGGGGTAACATGGTGAGATCTCAACTCTACAAAAAATGCAAAACACTTAGGCATGCTGGTGCTCGCCTGTAGACTCAGCTACCTGGCAGACTGAGGTAGGAGGCTGTAGTGAGCTGAGACCACACCACTGCATTCCAGACTTTTTGTGGATTCCTACTGCCTTTTTTTTTTTAAGATGTTGTCTTGTTCTGTAGCCCAGGCTGGTGGCCTGATCTCTCACTGCAATCTCCACCTCCCAGGATCAAGCTATCCTCCTGTCTCAGCCTCCTGAGCAGCTGGGATTACAGGTGCAAGTCACCACGCCCAACTAATTTTGTATTTTAAGTGGAGACGGGGTTTCACCGTATTGATTAGGCTGGTTTCAAACTCCTGACCTCAGGTGATCCACCCACCTGGGCCTCCCAAAGTGCTGGAATTACAGGCATGAGCCACTGCACCCAGCCCCTACTGGCTTTTAATTTGAATTCTGGATACTCAGCCTGCATGATTGCTCATGCCTGTAATTCCACCACTTTAGGAGGCCAAGGAGGGCAGGTCACTTGAGGTCAGTAGTTTGAGACTAGCCTGGCCAACATGGTGAAACCCGTTCTCCACTAAAAACACAAAAATTAGCCAGGTGTGGTGCTGCATGCCTGTAACACCAGCTACCCAGGAGGCTGAGGCAGGAGAATCACTTGAATCCGGGAGACGGAGGTTGTAGTGAGCCGAGATAGTGCCACTGCACTGCTGCCTGGGAGACAAAGGGAAAGTCAGTCTCCAAAAAAAAAAAAAAAAAAAAAAAAAAAATTTCCAGGTACTGTTGGTGACATTTGTTGCAAACAGATTTGTTTTTCCCCTGCCTCCAATTAGTAAGTGAAAATAACTGGAACACACACACACACACACAGAAAATAACGGGAACACACATCTCTAGTGCAGTGGGTATCTGTGGAAATTATTGTGGCTCGCTTTGTCAGAATGCACTAGCTCCTTCCAACTTTATTTTCTTGTTTTCTCCCACCTGGTAGGACTGCACATTTGAAAAATTCGAAGCATTAAATAACACAGTCTATCACTTATCTACCGCCCACCTAACATTTCAGAAAGAGGAATTTTGGTGATTGCATGATAAATAGAGGAGTTCTGTCTTCCTGCCTTAGTGTTACAGTGTCCTTTGGTGTTCTATAAGCCTATGATAAAAGCTATTGACTATAAGGGCAGTAAACCCGGTGGGATACAGGCAGGATGGATTCTGAGCTGTTTTGCAGTTAGCTACAGAAGATCAGCTGCAAAACTTGGCTACCCTGTGCTCCCGTTTTAGAGTGAGGATTTCCATCACTTTCTCCTACTTTAAAAGATTGACATCTGCCAAGTAATTAGAACATACAAAGAGGTCTTTTAACCAAGTTCAGTTTGGAATTTCCAAGCGCTAAGCAGGGGTGGCAGGCTAGGAGGACGGTTTGGCTGTGCAGCTACTTGAGAGGGTGCGGTAGCCGAGGGCTGCGTCCTTGTTAAGTCCAGAGCTGTAAAGACTTCTACTCTTTACTTTCCAAAACTGAACGAGCAAGGCTATAGAAGAATCAATTAACCGCAAAGTGACCCTACAGGCGGAAAAAATACAGCGCTTCCACCAGAAGGCGGTGGGGGAAGGGAAGCACGTGTAGCCAGGGTAGGGTTGCATCATGAGCTCGCTTGGGTTTTCTCTTGCACCCTTCGTTTTTCGATTGCATGCAATACCTCAGCATCAGTTTACACAAGCCCAGGGAGTCCGGGAGCAATGAAGGGCAGGCTCAGTGGAAGGTCCCAAGTCTGTCTGGAGACCTTTGAATGGCAGCTGATAAGACATAATAAGACACAATCTGTTCTGCTGATTCACAATTATGGAGACTGTGTATGTGTATTTTTTTATCGATGTGCTCTAATGATGGTGTAGCAACCGTGATTTCATATCATTGATGTTTTTACAGCAATATTTCGCAGGGTAATTTTCAGGTCTGCTTTTTTGTTGGAGGATCGACCCCTTAAAAATTCATCTCGGGTTCCCGTCCCCCCACAACCTGAGCTTTTTTGTTGGAGGATCGACCCCTTAAAAATTCATCTCGGGTTCCCGTCCCCCCACAACCTGAGCGTCTAACGCGGGAGGAGGAGCAAGTGAGGTTATAAATTGCTGAGTGTACTGGGATCTTAGCACAAAGCTCATCATATACTAAAAGGAGGGGCAAACTTATTTAAAAATATTCAACACGGCAGGCCTCAGAGGTGCTGGGGAGGGGGAGTGGAAATCTGTTTAACTGAATTAAGGCCGCGCGCGAAGGGAGGAAGGAGCGCTGGGGACTTGAGTACACCAGGGCCCGTCCGTGTAAGCACTGGCAACGCAAAGCACCTTACAAACGCCCGAGGTCTGAAGCCTGGGAGTGGCGGTGGAGGTGAGTCTCCCAGCCTCCTCTTCAGTTCCTACACCCCAGCTCCTGGCTTTTACGCCAGTTTGTCCCTAAGAATTTCTGGCTCTTTTTCTGGGAGGTGTTTTGCAAAGGGGGGAGCCTCTGCCTGTCCCCTTTTTCGAGATGGGAAATGACAACTGGGGTGTCTTCTAAGACGATTTTGACGGAGATACACCCTCGGACAGGTGACGGGAGTTCCGTGGGGGCAGAGGGCGGCTTCCTTTTTCGGTTGGGGGAAGGCAACAGTCTAGCAGTGGCCCAGGTTCCCCTCGCCCACCCTCGGCATAGGGGAGGGGCCGGTTCGCAGTTCCCCACCCTCCTTAGGGGAAGGGCTGGTTCCGGATCTAAACCACTGGGGCGCTGGAGCTGGGGCTGGTGGGAGGCGGGTTTCCCTCAGCTGGCTGTTGGGGAGGGGCGGGCCGCGGCGAGTGGGTGCCCTCTCGCTCTCAGTCCTCCCGGTCCGCGTTTGCATGCTAGCGGCCGCTCCCAGTGGTGGTCACCGCCAGTGCCAATCCCTTGCGCCGCCGTGCAGTCCCGCCCTCTGTCGCTGCAGCCGCCGCGCCCGCTCCAGTGCCCCCAATTCGCGCTCGGGAGTGAGGAGCCGCCAACACCCCAGCTCCGCTGCTGCCGCCACCGCAGTGCTCTCTAGTCGCCATTGGTTACCTAAACTTTCCAGTACCCGCGACCTTTCCGGGACTCCGCGGCGGCGGGGCAGAGGCGGCCCAGGGGCGGCACGCGGCTGCTCCGGTGCGCCGGGCTCTTTTCGGCCGCCGCACGGCCGGGCCTCACAGGCTGCCCTCCTGAGAGAGGCTCAGAACACGGCCAGGTACGCGCCGCCGCCACAGTTGCGCTGCTAGCGACGAGGTGAGTGCTAGGTGTTTGGTGGGCCGGGCGCGGGGTCCGCAAACTTTTGCGTACGGCGCTGACTCCCTGCGGTCCTGCCGGCGGCTCCGGCCGTCCAGACGCTCCGCTCGCCACGAACTCCTGGAGACGCAGGGCCCCAGCTGTTACCGCAGCACTTGGACTAGGGTGCGGAGCGCTCCCTGGACTCAACAATACCGGGAGGTTTCCGCTCCCCCAAAGTGCGTGCGCGCCGTGTGGGGAGTGTACGGAGGTTGGCGGGAGACGCTCCTTTGGGGAAGGGGGAGGCGGCTGCTAAGTTTAGGAAAGTACTCGGTTTCTTCCTGGTGCCCCTTTGTTTGCCGCTCTTGGGATCTGCTGGGCCCAGCGCCACTGCTGGTGGGCGGAAGGGGCAGGTGGCGGGATTTTTCACGCCCCGGTGGAGGGGAGTCCCTTTCATCCACGGGACTCGGGCCGGCCTGCCCCGACCTGGGTGGAAGCGCAGTCGCGCAGAGCGGGGCGACCGGCTGGCTAGGCGGCTCGGGCCCGCGGCGTCTGCTCAGTTTCTGAGTCGCAAAACCGTCAAGGAATTCGGAAGCTCCCCTCCCCCGCCCATCTCTCTGGCCCCAGCGCGCAGTCAAGTCTGGGGGCAACCCCCCCCGCGCCCCCGGTCTGTTTGGGGTCTGCAGAGCGGCGCCAGGGTAAAGCGCAGACCTGTTGATCCTAGGTTCTGGCGGGTCGGGGTCTGGCAGATCCTGGGTCCGGCCTTGCTTCCCAGTGGTACCTTCTCTCACGGAGGGGGCGGGGCCGTCCGCTTTCGGGAGTCAGTGATCGCCGGATATGTGACAACTGTGGGTCGTTGGAGTCCCGCCGGCGCTGGGCTAGGGCCTGGACTTCACGTACATCGACTGTGCGTGGTCATGCCGGAGGCAGGGGCTCACTCATTGCACCGACCTCATGTTGCTGTAGCAAGCTAAGTGCGTCGAAAATTCCACAAAGTTAGGGACCGATGTGATTATTTTCGAATCGGTGGTGTTCTGGAGCAAAACCTAGTAAGAAACAAAATCCCACCCTCTGTTTTATTTGCAACTGTTTTGCATGGTCATGAGTGGCTTGACCTGCCTTCTAGGTGTTTTCCTCTGCTGGCACGCCAGAATCCCTGGTTCAGCCTGGAAGGCGAGGGGCAGGACTCCCCAGACAGTGGCCTCAGTGTGGTAAGTGGCTCTTGACAATTTTATGAAAAATTTAGAAGTCCTTCCTAGAAAAGGTGCAATTAGGAAAAATAAAATACAGGAAAATGTTGAGTATGATGCATTTATTTTAAAGAGTAATCATGTCTCACATATGCTACAGATTTTTGTGGAAAGCCGCCGAGCTGGGTAACTGACACAACAAAAGTTGTTCATCACTGGATCCATTTATTAAAAGGGGACCTTAAGGCGATTGCAGGCCTAGTAGAACACACACCTGTAGGGCAAAAATGGAAATTTATGGTGTAGTTCTGCCACCCTGGCTCCCTCACTCCCAGGCATTTGGCCCCTTTACTGGGCTCCGAGGAGTCCTCTGCTAGCAGTTTTAAAGAGGAAACTGGGCCGGGCGTAGTGGCTCACACCTGTAATCCCAGAACTTTGGCAGGCCAAGGCGAGTGGATCACCTGCAGTCAGGAGTTCAAGACCAGCATGGCCAACATGCTGAAACCGCGTCTTTACTGAAAATACAAAAGTTAGCAGGGATGATGCCAGGTGCCTGTAATCCCAGCTACTTGGGAGGCTGAGGCAGGAGAATCGCTTGAACCTGGGAGGTGGAGGTTGCAGTGAGCTGCTTTCGCACTATTGCACTGCAGCCTGGGAGACAAAGCAAGACTCTGTCTCAAAAAAAAAAAAAAAAAAAAAAAAAACACTGTGTGCAAAAATTACTGTAGACACTCTTAGAAGTGAATGATTACAATTCTGGAGTACCATTGGTTCTGTACAACATAATCTTGGATTTTAGTTAGAAGATTTTTTTGCCTTTTAAGGTAACAGTTCATTAAAAAATACATTGATCTACTGCTAGGTGCCAGGTATTCTGCTGGGCCCAGGGCACACCACGAACAAAGCAAAGCCCTGTTTTGGGGACTTTAGATTGGGGGTAGGATAGAGGATGCCCTGGTCACCAACTGCAGCGTACTACTAGGATCCTGAGTGGGAAGAGTTTTTAGGTGTTCTTAGTCTTCTTTTACCCAAGGCTGATCAGTCCAGTAATTATGACTGTCTCCCTTTACATTTCACATGTTGATACACAAATCATCTAACTGCTCTGGAAAGTTTGGGCATTTTAATGGACTGCATGGAGATATATTATGGTGTGGGGCTTTGGAGTCTAGTTGGTTTTGAGTCTGTTTTATCTAGTGGAGGCTCGGTTTTCTCATCTGTGAGATGGCACCAGGAGTCTCTCTCACAGAGCTTTCTAAGAGACTGTACTGCTTTTGGGAGCTGACAAAGTGGTGATTAGAGCCCCTGAGTTAATCTCCACAATGACAGATTCCAATGACCTAGGTATGTTTGAGAGAAAACTACCTTTGTCCCCATTAGTCCTTAAGTTGTGAAGGGGCCCACCATGTTTACTTTGCCCTTGAGCAATTGTGTAACTTTGAACTCCTGCAGCCTTTTTAAGCATCATTTTTCATGTGTAAATTTAAAAAACAGAACTAGAATTCCCCAAAGTCCAGCTCTTAAGCTTGGTGTTACTTTGCTTTTCTATCTAGTGTGGATCTTCCCACTGGGAAACAAAAGATCTATAAATTGTACACACACAGGAGACTCTACATTGAATATGCTTATAGAAATACATGTATGTATGTTTGTGTGTGTATGTGTTTGTATATGTAGATGTATCAACAGAGTCACAGAAAGTCTACCACAGGGGATCAGATGGTTTCTTCCATAGCTTTATCATTGCATTTAGTAGCCAGTTGCCACATATGGCTATTTAGACTTAATTGAAAGTAACAGTTCTGTTTTATCAGTTGTACTAGCCCTATTTCATGTACTGTGGGGCTGCATGAGGTTAGGTGGTCATGCGCGGTCATATTGGATAGCAGGAAACTTGCAGAAAGTTCTATTGGAGTATGTTACTTTGTAGTTATTGCAGTGAAACCTTAATAAAGAAAACTGTTGGCCAGGTATGGTGGTTCATGCCTGTAATGTTAGCACTTTGGGACGCCAAGCGGGGAAGAAGGCTTGAGGCCAGGAGTTTGAGACCTCATCTCTACTAAAAACATTTAAAAAATTAACTGGGCATCGTAGTGCGAGTCTATAATTCCAGTTGCTCGGGAGGCTGAGGTTGGAGGATTTCTTGAGCTGAGGAGTTCTGGGCTGTGGTGAGCACACATCTGCGCTCCATCCTGAGTAACAGAGGAATAATCTATCTTAAAAACAAAATAAAACAAAACCAAATGCAGCAGTCATGCCTGGGTGTGGTGGTTCATGCCTGTAATCCTAGCACTTTGGGAGGCTGAGGTGGGTGGATCACTTGAGGTCAGAAGTTCAAGACCAGCCTGGGCAACATGGTGAAAACATGTTCTGTATTAAAAAAAAAAAACATTAGCTGAGTGTGGTGGTGCATGTCTGTGATTCCAGCTACACAGAAGACCGAGGCGTGAGAATTGCTTGAACCCAGGAGGTGGAGAGGTTGCAGTGAGCCGAGATCGCACCACTGCACTCCAGCTTGGGGAACAAAGTAAGACTCTGTCTCAAAACAAACAAACAAACAAAACCCCAAACAACTACAACCAAAAAACAGCAGTCAAGAGAGTTGTGCTTTTTGTGGAGGAAGGTGCGAAGCCAGTGAAATTGAAAATAACTCACAGGTGGGCTCATTTTTCTAAAAAAATGACTCATTTCAGCCAGTGATTTGGCCAGGAAAATGATTTCAGCAAATGGGTTATTAACCTGAAGTTGACAACCTCTAGTTTTAGATTGAGGTGGTTTGGTCCAATTTTGATTTAAACAACAGAACTCCAAGCTTGAGTCCCTCACTGAGTGTTGAATTTTGGGCAACACATTTAGCTGCTGTGTGTCCCAGTTTCCCCATCTTAAAAAATGACACTGCCAGTCCCCATGTTGCCAACCTAAGCAGATTGTGGTAAATATCCCTCAGGATGGTGTAGGTGGAAGGCTTAAGTAAAATAAAAGGTGCTTCTGTCAGTAACAGTCCTGTGCCCAGGTACTGTAGTGCCATATCTGTTATTTTCAGACCCTCACATACTCTGGATACCTTGGGCTTTCCCTTCCCGTTCTTTAAGTTTAAGGCCTAAGTATCGAGGTTAAGTCTCTTGAGATCAAAGTCTTCTGTATTAAAAGACTAATAAAGAATCCTTCCAACAAGGTGAGACTTCCCAGTAGTCCAAGTGTTTTAAAAACCTTAAATCACGACTGTTAGCTGTTTTCTGCACAGCAGTCTTGAGTCAGTATGTTATTTTTCTTACTTGGTAGATATGTCATTTGTATGGGTCTTTGTATTTTTTATGGCAATGAATGAGAAATTTTATTTGTCAGTGAGGATAGGGGAAAAACCGAACTGTGTGTCTTTAGAGAGGTGAATTCCCAGATTAACTCCCCTGCCATTTGTTCTTTCTTTGGTGTCTTGTCAGGACTCTGGTGTCATCTCCTGTCAGCCTTTGGTTGAAAGCACTTGGAAACTTGGGTGGCTGATATTCTCCAGAGGCAGAAAAATGTTCCCAGCCGAGAGAGGCCATCTCCAGCAGGTCCTGAGTGTCAGGAATTCAGATTCTCTGCCCCACTCCTGCTGGATAGGAGGACACTTCCACTAGAACCTGGGCCTGGCCCCTTTCCAGTTTTCTGCTGGGAGTCCGGATTCTGGTGCTTTGCTCCGAAGCAGTGCCCGTGGGCCTCCGGGCCTGGCTCATCATCACAGCTTCTCTGCTCAGTGAGGAGACCATCATTGTGCTGCTTTTCTGATGCCTTCCATTTGCCTTTTTCTCCACTTGGGAAAAACAAAAAAAGCTAGTATGCTACATCCTGAAAAGTTGTTAATCCTTCACCACCACATACATTGAAAAATCAGTTCCTGCCGGGAAGTACCACTAAAGGCATATTGTAAACTTTTTTTCTAATTGGAAAGGTAAACTTTTTTCCCCCATAACTATTTTTCGTGTGAAGGAAGTAACTGACCTCTTGAGTCAGAGATGGCACTCGAGTTTTTCCCCATGGGTCTTGCCTGCTACACTCCTGGCCACCCTTTCTGTGGGGCTTGACCAAATGGACCACACTGGCCAGCCTGACAAACCCACCAGAACCAAAAGAAAAGCTGGATGTGGGAAAGGGCTGAAGAACTCCACGTGTCTAAAGGGCAAAGAGATCCTGGGTTGAGAAGAGGAGTTTCAGATTTCCAATGGAGAAAGAGAGGCGGAGGTTGCAGTGAGCCGAGATCGTAACACTGCACTCGAGCCTGATGACAGTGAGACCCTGTCTCCGAAAAAAAAAAAAAAAAAAAAAAAGCCTCTAATCCCAGCAATGTGGGAGGCTGAGTCGGGTAGATCACCTGAAGTCAGGAGTTTGAGACCAGCCTGGCCAACATGGTGAAAAATCCCACCTCTACTAAAAATATGAACATTAGCTGGGCTTGGTGACACATGCCCATAATCCCAGCTACTTAGCTTGAGGTAGAATCAGTCACTTGAACTGCGGAGGTGGAGGTTGCAGTGACCTGAGATTATGCCATTGCACTCTAGCCTGGGCAACGAGAGCGAAATGCTGTCTCAAAAATATATAAACAAATGAATAAGTAAATAAATGAAGAAGAAGAAAGGAATGAAGGTAGACAATATGCTTGCTTATTGGAACGATGTTTTCAACACTGAGTTCTGGAATGTTGCAGCCAACCAGTGGCTCTTATTTGGGACACTTTTTTCCGTCACTTTTGAAGGGGGCATTTGCTAATGTCTAGAGACATTTTTGGGCTCCCACAGCTGGAAAAGGTAGAGGGAGCTCCTGGCATCTGGTGGGTGGAGCCCTGGGATGCTGCCCAGTGCCCTGTGTGCACAGGATGGCTCCACCACAGAGAATGGTTTGGCCTCAAGTGCCACCAGTGCCAAGGAGAACCTCAATTGTATAGTCAGCTATACCAAGAGTCCCCAGCCTTGGGCCTCAGGCCGGAACAGGTCTGTTGTCCTGTTAGGAACCTCCAGGAGGTGAACAGCAGGCTAGTGAGCATTGCCATTTGAGTTCTACCTCCTGTCAGATCAACAGTGGCATTACATTCTGATAGGAGTGAGAACCATGTTGTGAACTGCACATGCAAGGGATTTAGGTTTTGTGCTTCTTATGAGAGCCTAACTAATTCCTGATGATCTGAGGTGGAACAGTTTCATCCTGAAACCATTCTCCACCCCACCCCATGGAAAAGTGTATTCCATGAAAGTGTTCCTTCATGCTAAAAAGATTGGGGACCACTGAACTGTTCAGTCCCGTTTTGGTCAAGGCCTGTGGGGGAGATGGGGAGGTGGATGCCAAGGAAAAATAAACATCAATTTCTGTAGTTGTCAAGACACACAAGTTTTAGGGTGACGTATTAGTAAATAAATCACCACAGCTGCTGATCAATACAGTAAGAGTTTCAGATGCTCACAGGAGAAAGCGAAGGAGGAGGTAGGAAGTGGATTTTGCAGAATGATCACAAATGAGGTCAGCGGGTGTCACAGTGGACAATGGGGAGGCAGTGGAGCGGGGGCATTGCTAGCTGTCCGAGCTCTGCTTCAGCACAGGTCTCCTAGAGCCCTACATGTAAGTACCCCCTTAGTGCATGTTTCTCAGCCCCTTCCTTTTGGCTTTATTAATATCATCACAGAGGTACTAGGTCTTACTTACAAGGAGGGTCAGCTCCTTGATACTTTGGAGTTGCTTATGAACAAGTTGCACAAGGTTTCTCTCTGTGCTCAGTGAATTGTGAGTGGTGTAGGGTCACTAAGAAATCTCAGAAGGGAGTTAGTGTGCCACCTTCATCTCATTCTCTTCTTACAGCTATTGAAATGAGACAGGGTGGGGCAGCTGGATACGGACCTGTATTATACTTAGTGGAGGCCCTCTTTGAAGTGTCTTTAGGAAAAAGGCTTCTAAAGTGAGGTCCTGCTGTGTGGCATGTTTCATCCTGAGCCAGCCTCTGGTCCCCATGTCCAAGTGAGCCCCAGAGCTGCCCCGAGTCATGCCTGTTTTCAGGGACTCTGTGTTTCGGCTGGACATGGGGGCCGGGTACAGCTATGAGGGAAACCTCATTTGTAGCCACTGTGCCATGCACTGTGTGCATCTTTGAGCACATCGGAGAGTTTCTGTAGCATTAGTATTCTCATTGAGACAGAAGGTGGGTGGGGTGGGGGGTGTGGGGAGAAAGATTTCCCAGGCTTGTTATATTAAATGAGCTAGAATTATATTTTCATGTATTTTGAATTTTTACTTATCTATTTGTTCTTGAGACGGTCTCACTGTTGCACAGGCTGGAGTGCAGTGGTGCGATCTCAGCTCAGTGCAGCCTTCACCTCCTGGGCTTAAGCAGGTCCCCCACCTCAGCCTCCCGAGTAGCTGGCACTAGAGGTCTGTACTACCATATTTGCGTTTTTTTAATTTTTGTTTTTTAATTTTTAGTAGAGAAGGAGTCGTCTATGTTGCCAGGGTGGTCTCAAAGTCCTGGGCTCAAGTGATCCATCCTCTTTCCTTGACCTCCCAAAGTGCTAAGATTACAGTTGTGAGCAACTATACTCCACTAAAGCAGATAGAATTATAATGCTTGGAGCCCAATATGCTTATATTTTCCTATTTTCTGAGTTTGGATTTGGGTCTGGAAAGGTATCTTTATCAGTTAGGATGTCTAGTAACTTGCTTGCTTTTTTTTCCTGTTACCTTTTCTCCCTTAAATATTTTTTTTTTTTTTTTTGAGACAGAGTCTCGCTCTGTCTCTTGTGGGTCTCAGGCTGGATTGCAGTTGCGCAATCATGATCTCGGCTGACTGCAACCTTTACCTTCTGGATTCAATCAATTCTCCTGCCTCAGCTTCCTGAGTAGATGGGACTACAGGCGGGCACCACCATGCCCGGCTAATTTTTGTATTTTTAGAAGAGACGGGGTTTCACCGTGTTGGTCAGGCTGGTCTCAAACTGCTGATCTCATGATCCACTTGCCTCGGCTTCCCAAAGTGCTGGGATCACAGGCATGAGCCACCACGCCCGGCTTTCCCTCTTAAATTTTAGGACTATAACTGTATACTTTTATTTTTTAAATTACCATATAGTAAAATTGGCTCTTTGGTTGTGTAGCTTTATGTGTTTTGATGTGTGTATAGATGGATGTCATAATCAGGAGAGAGAACATTCCCCTAAGCCCAGAGATGTCCATGGTGCTATCCTCCACAGCATGTTTCTCGGCAGTCACTCTGCCCCCAGCCCCAAACATGGGGCACCTGCCTGTAGGTGCCACAGAAGGCAACATCATGGCCTGTTAAATACAGTAAGACATTCTTCTTCAAAGGGTTAACTTGTTGAACTTTCCTTGTCCTTTGTTCCCTGCTTTCAAGGCCAGACTCCCTTACTCTCTGTGTTCCTTTGCCCTGGGAAACAACCTTCCTCTTGGTCTTTATCTATAGAGTCCACATTCCACATCTGCTCCTCACTCTGTAAATCATCCCTCCGGTCGAAACACTCTCTGTCTCCACTAAAACTGTTTTCTCACTATTGTAACCACATCCCTGCACTTCTCAAATTAGCCAATTGGGTTCAGCTTAGATTGTGCAGTCCAACTCTAGCCAACAGATACTGGACATGGCAGTAGGAGCCCAATGAATTAAAGATAAAGTGACTGCTTTCCTTTGTTCAGAGTGCTTTCATGGTGACCAAACTAATGAGCAGCACCCTTCTGCAGAGGTAAACTTTGCCTTGCTGAGAAACCAATTGTTGGCGTGTTTATTTCATTTATGACTTTGAGCTTTATTTCTAACATGGCCCAAAGTAATCCTCTTTTCTTGAACACATGGTAGAATGCCCTAGGTGAATCCCTCCAGTCTTCCAGTACCATCCTTGACTCCTCTCTCTGATGACACATGAACTTTATGCTTTTGCACACTTCAGGCAACACCAAAAGAAAGGAAAAGAACAGCTTAGCTTCTTAATGTGTGTAAGAAACCACAGTGAAAAAAAATCAGGTGTGTTGTTGAGGCTGCTAAAAGCTTTCCTTTTTTTTCTGTGCCAGTTCTCGCTGCCTCATTGGTTGAGATGGGATGTCTTTTTTGATGTCCTCTTTAGAGAGTGTTATCCTCACCTTTTTGCATAGTCCTACCAAAAGACACCTCACATGCAAAGTGTAACAGAAAATTACAGTCATGACTTTAGTTTTAAAAACAGGACGTATATTCATGAAGAATGTTTGCTGTTTTCCCAGTGGGTTAATCATATGAATATAAAACAGACTAAAAATATCAAGTTGTTTTTGCATTTATTTATTGTAGAAATAAAATGGATTGCTACCTCTGAGCTTCTGAGAAGCTGTTAACCTGTGTTTTACTTTGGGTCATAATGTCGCTTTCTGTGATCTCATATGAAGTGACGTTTTCTAGAATAATCCTTATTCTGGTATTTCGGGGTCTTTTATTCTGCCTGAAGTGGTTGTGTGAAGTCACAGAATATGTGCATGTCCTCCTATGTAGAGTTAAAGGGCTGAAAGAGTGGCCTCAAGCCTTCCCCTCCCTCCCAGGTGTGAAAATTTGGATTTCAAGGTCTGGGAGGCCATGTTTTTTTCAGACCGGTTAAGGATGATCATTTTATGTTAAATAAACATTGGGATAAACTTACAGTTGTTTATGTCCTGTGCCTAGATGAGCAGTTTTCCCATGATTAAAATAAGCAGTATTTTGGTAAACATTGGTAAGTTACACATTTTAGTTTAGGAAGCCACAGCAAGTCAGAAGGCTCTTTGTGCCGCTGGGTGCCACTGAGTGATTCCTGGCAGTGCGGCAGTTCTCCAGCCCCAGGAGACCCTGTGAAAGCAGCACAAACAATGCTTATGGCAAAACTCACAGTGCTGTGCTGTGGACCTTGCTGGACCATAACAAAGGGGGACGTGGGAATAAAGACAAAAAAGAGTATATTTGGAAGAAGGGGTCAGGGGCTCCTTGCTTCTACTGAACTTCCTAGAGCCCTTCATATTTATTGAGTAAAGGAGATAGGGAGAAGGGGGTGGTTGTGGTCAGCTGCTTGACTGTGGTCATGCAGGTGTGCATGACTGCATTCTCTGAACAGTAGTCTCCAGATGTTCAAGTAGATAACTTCAATGAGCCTGCTACCAGGGAGTGACTGCCCTCAGCAAACCTTCTGGCAGCAGGTGCAGATGTGAGTTTGCACACATCCTGCATTCATGATAAACAGTTTGCTGTTTGATCATATAGCCTCCACTGGAATGCTGAGTTCGTCACAATCCTCAGGCTTTTAGCTCCCAACAGTGTTTATTCTTGACCTGGGTGTCTACCCTAAATTCATGTCATTTTTCCTATCTTGGTGGATGTAACTGGAATGCTTTAAAGAAAATATGAGAGTTTTGTCTGCATGTTTCCCTTGAGCCTGGAACTGAGATTATGACCCCAGACAGCCTGCACAGGGCTCTTTCCTTTCAGGAACACCTGCTTAGGCTAGAATACCAGAGGAGGGAGAAGGTTAGGCTCTCCCTGTCTTGGTAACTTTCCTAGTCAGCTCTCCAAGATGCCAAAACCTTCCTTCATGTTTGTTGGGAACTGTATCCCTAGCACCATGATGTTGGAGCAAGAAGAAGGATACATGTCCCTTTTGGGTAGCTTGACTCATTCCAATTATGGACCTGCTTGTTGTTAGGGTCTGTGTGAATGTGCAGTATTCTTTTTTTGAGATGGAGTCTCACTCTGTCACCTGGAGGGCAATGGTGCTGTGTCCGGAATTGGTGGCTTCTTGGTTTCATTGACATCAAGGATGAAGCCGTGCACCCTCACGGTGACTGTTACAGTTCTTAACGATGGTGTGTCCGGAGTTTGTTTCTTCAGATGTTCAGATGTGTCCGGAGTTTCTCCCTTCTGGTGGGTTTGTGGTCTCGCTGACTTCAGGAGTGAAACTGCAGACCTTCATGGTGTTAAACAGCTCTTAAAGGCAGCACGTGTGGAGTTGTTCCTTCTGGTGGGTTCTTGGTCTTGCTGGCCTCAGGAGTGAAGCTGCAGACCTTCATGGTGAGTGTTACAGCTCATAAGGGCGGTGTGGACCCAAAGAGTGAGTAGCAGCAAGATCTACTGCAAAGAGCAAAAGAACAAAGGTTCCATAGCACCGAAGGGGACCTGAGCAGGTTGCTGCTGCTGGCTATCTGGCCCCACCCACATCCTACTGATTGGTCCGTTTTGCAGAAAGCCAATTGGTCTGTTTTGACAAGGTGCTGATTGGTGGGTTTACAATCCTTTAGCTAGACACAAAAGTTCTCCAAGTCCCCACTAGATTAGTCAGACCCAGAGTGCTGATTGATGCATTTATTTACAAACCTTTAGGTAGACAGAGTGCTGTTTGGTGCGTTTACAGTCCTTTAGCTAGACACAAAAATTCTCCAAGTCCCCACTAGATTAGCTAGACACAGAGCGCTGATTGGTGCGTTTACAAACCTTCAGGTAGACACAGAGTGCTTGGTGCGTTTACAAACCTCTAGTTAGACACAGAGTGCTGATTGGTGTGTTTACACAATCCTTTAGCTAGAAAGAAAAGTTCTCCAAGTCCCCACCCATCCCAGAAGCCCAGTCAGGTTCACCTCTCACTGGCACGTGCTGCAGGACTCTGTGGCACCCAGCCCGGGCACTCCGGCAGCCCAGAGGGAGCCTACTCCCCCGACGAAGCCCGGCAGGTGCCGGCCAGCTGCGCCAAGTGCGGGGCCGCGGAGGCCACAGCCCACCCAGAACGCGCGCAGGCCGAGACCGCGCGCAGCCCCGGCTCCCGCCCACGCTTTTACCTCCACATCTCCCCAGGAGCAGAGGTAGCCGGCTCCGGCCTCCGCTAGTTCCAGAGAGGGGCCCCCACAGTGCAGCAGGGGGCTGAAGGGCTCCTTGAGCGTGGCCAGAGTGGACGCCTAGGCAGAGGAGGCACCGAGAGCAAGCGAGGGCTGCTAGCATGTAGCCACCCCTCAGTGCGATCTCAGCTCACTGCAGCCTCCACCGCCTGGGTTCAAGCAATTCTTCTGTCCCAGCCTCCTGAGTAGCTGAGATTACAGGTGTGTGCCACCATGCCTGGCTAATTTTTGTGTTTCTAGTAGAGATGGGGTTTCATCATGCTAGCCAGGTTGGTCTCAAACTTCTGACCTCACGTGATCTGCCTGCCTTGGCCTCTCAAAGTGCTGGGATTACAGGTGTGAGCCACCGCGCCCGGCTGTGAATGGGCAGTATTATTCAATGCTGCAAGCATTTTTGCTTGGCTGAATTGCCTGATAGATAGGAATTTGGAGAAAAAGAAGTTTACGTATATATGTGGTGGCACTTTATTTCTTACATCAGTAATAAATCATTTATTTACTTTTATTTTTTATTTATTTTTTTGAGACAGAGTCTTGCTCTGTCGCCCAGGCTGGACTGCAGTAGTGCGTTCTTGGATCTTCACTTACTATAAGCTCTGCCTCCCAGGTTCATGCCATTCTCCTGCCTCAGCCTCCTGAGTAGCTGGGACTACAGGCACCTGCCACCATGCCTGGCTAATCTGTATTTTTAGTGGAGACGGGGTTTCACCGTGTTAGCCTGGATGGTCGTGATCTCCTGACCTAGTGATCCACCCCCCTCAGCCTTCCAAAGTGCTGGGATTACAGGCGTAAGCCACCACGCTGGGCCTATAACAAACGATTTACTTATCTATTTTTAGAGACAGGCCCTGTTACTCAGGCTGAAGTGCAGTGGGGCAATCACAGTTCATTGTGGCCTCAACTTCCAGGGCTCAACTGATACTCCTCAAAGTAGCTGAGACCACATATGCATGCCACTATGCCCTGCTTTAAAAAAAAAAATTCTTAATTTTTGTAGAGACAGGTCTTGCTGTATTGCCTAGGTTAGCCTCGAACCCCTGAACTCAAACAGTCTTCCTGCTTTGGCCTCCCAAAGTGCTGACATTACAAGTGTGAGCTGCCACACTTGGACAACAAATACTTTAATATAGTGATACCATATAAACTCATTTTAAGAACTGGAGAAAAATTCAGTAGGACTGAGCCATGATTTCCATTTCTGGTGCACTGTGGGTGATACTTAGTGTGAACCTGGACACCTGTGCTCCTTCAGTTGTTCATATATCTTGTCATCCATGGGAAGATGAGAAGTGAAGTTGGGCCAGGTGCGGTGGCTCACGCCTGTAATTCCAGCACTTTGGGAGGCTGAGGCGGGCGGATCACGAGGTCAGGAGATTGAGACCATCCTGGCTAACACGGTGAAACCCCGTCTTACTAAAAATACAAAAAAATTAGCTGGGCGTGATGGCGGACGCCTGTAGTCCCAGCTACTCAGGAGGCTGAGGCAGGAGAATGGCGTGAACCCAGGAGATAAAGCTTTCAGTGAGCCGAGATTGCACCACTACACTCCAGTCTGGGCGACAGAGTGAGACTCTGTCTCAAAAAAAAAAAAAAAAAAGAAAGAAAGAAAAGAAAAAGTTGAGTGGAGTTCTGTCATCAGAGTCTGCCATGCAAAAATTGGTAGTGCCAGTATGCAAACGTAATTCCCAGCTGCCATAAAAGTCCAGGTGGCTTCACAGTTTTTGATTGTATTTTCTAAAAGCAGCTGAATAGGGAATTGAAGTCCCTGCCATTTGGTTCATTTGGGGGTCAGAATAAACTTGGGTCCTTGCCTTCAAATCTTTCAAGAGAATCTTATCATGCATTCTAGTTCTATACAATTGTAATGCCAGCTCCATGTAGATAAAAACTCAAGAATTCAAAATTATAAACTTGAAAATGGCAATTGCCAAGTTCTGTCAGTCACACATCAGTCTGGGAGACATGATTTGGTTTAATTCCCATTTTGATTTTGGAAAAAAGTCACATTTGGCTTGCTTTGTTTCACCAAGACACACTGGTGGTTCTGTCCCAATTTCAGCCACTTCCAGTGATCTGTATTAGGATACTTCAAAAACCCTAACCAGAAGAGGCAATCTTTGAGGTGCACCCAGCTCAGAAGCTGGTGAAAATAAGAATGATTAATCTCTTCTGGGCAGTACATGACAGAAATTATCATAGACCATATGAGAACAGGGAGAGAAACTTGTGGGTATTACATGTCATGCTGTGCTCTGATAAAAAGAAGGTTGTGGATATTACATGTTGATACTGTGTCCCCATCCAAATCTCACCTTGAATTGTAATAACCTCCTGTGTGAAGGATGGGACCAGGTGGAGGTAATTGAATCATGAAGGTGGTTTTCCCCATACTGTTCGCTGATAGTGAGTTTTTTATTTTTATTTTTTTTAGATAGGGTCTCATTTTGTCACCCAGGCTGCAGTGCAATGACGTGGTCTCAGCTCATTGCAATCTCTGTCTCCTGGGTTCAAGTGATTCTCCCACCTCAGCCTCCCAAGTAGCTGAGACTACAGGCATGTGCCACCGCACCTGGCTAATTTTTGTATTTTTATCAGAATGGGGTTTCACTATGTTGGCCAGACTGGTCTCAAACTCCTGACCTTGTGATCTGCCCTCCTGGACCTTCCAAAGTGCTGGGATTACAGGCGTGAGCCACTGTGCCTGGCTGAGATCTGATGGTTTTATAAGGGGTTTTCCCTTTCACTTGGCTTTTATTCTCTCTTGCTTGCCGCCAGGTAAGACATGTCTTTGCTTTTCGTTTGCCCTTCTGCCATGATTTTGAGGCCTTCCCAGCCATGTGGAACTTGAGTCCATTAAACCTCTTTCCTTTATAAGTTACCTAGTCTTGGTATATCTTTATTAGCAACATGAGAACAGACTAATACACACGACATGCTGTGCTCTGATAAATTTCATGGGACTCAGTATGATTTCTTTAAGTTGGTAGTCTCCAAATTTGGGGAAAGGACAGGGACAGAAATGACTTGCCTCAGGTTTTAATTCTTGAAAGTGTCTCCCAGGTGAGTTTTATGCCCTCTGGCAGGTGCACAGCAAGATTTATTGGTGTGCAGGGAGAAACTATGAAAATGCTCTCTAAAAATATCCAACAGTTGCAAAAAATACATATTTTCTTTGAAAACATACATATGATATTAGTTGAGTATTTTATATATTTAATAAATAAATTACATGACTTAGCAGCACCTGCTTAAAACTTTGACTGATAAGGTTACACACACATGAAAAAGATCACTGATGTAGGTCCCCAAAGGCTAGAAGAGAGGGTGATACTAAAGTCCCTGGATGCAGGTGGGACACAGTTGTACTCCCGTTTCCTTTGGCTTTAGCTGCTCAGGTATGTGTGAGCTTGCGTGTGCATGTATGTGCACTAAGTAACTTTGATATCCACCAGCTTAAAGATCAGGCATTGCTCCAGAGAAGTACAGATATTAGTGATTTGACTTATTGAAGAAAGAACATGGAGTGACAGGACTGCACTTTTTGGATCTGGTGTATTCTGTATGTTGTTTTCTTAAATTTTATTTATGTATTTATTTAACTAATTTATTTATTTTGAAATGGAGTCTTGCTCTGTTGCCCAGGCTGCAGTGCAGTGTGTAATCTCAGCTCTCTGCAACCTCTGCCTCCCGGGTTCAAGCAATTCTCCTGCCTTAGCTTCCCCAGTAGCTGGGACTACAGGTACATGCTACCATGCCTGGCTAATTTTTGTATTTTTGGGAGAGACGGATTCACCATGTTGGCAAGGTTGGTCTTGATCTCCTGACCTTGTGGTTCATCTGCCTAGACCTCTCAAAGTGCTGGGATTACAGATGTGAGTCGCCGTGTCTGGCCTATTATTTTTTATTTTTTTGTTTTCCAAATTATGTATTTTCTTTTTTTCAAGACAGAGTTTTGCCTTGTTGCTGAAGCTGGAGTGCAGCAGCACTATCTAGACTCACTGCAACCTCTGCCTCCTGGGTTCAAGTGATTGTTTTGCCTCATCCTCCCAAGTAGGTGGGACTACAGGTGTGCCACCACGCCCAGCTAATTTTTATATTTTTAGTAGAGACAGGGTTTCACCGTTCTGGCCAGGCTGGTCTCAAATTCCTGACCTTGTGATCTGCCCGTTTTGGCCTCCTAAAATGCTGGGATTATAGACATGACCCACTGTGCCCAGCCTTTTTTTATATTTTGAAACAGAGTTTCACTCTTATTGCGTAGGCTGGAGTGCAACGGCATGGTCTTGGGTCACTGAAACTTCTGCCTCCCAGGTTCAAGGGATTCTCCTACCATAGCCTCCCAAGTAGCTGGGATTACAGGTGTGCACCACCACAACACGTCGAGGTAATTTTTTGTATTTTTATTAGAGATGGGGTCTCACCATGTTGGCCGGTGTTGAACTCCTGACCTCAGTTGATCACCCGCCTTGGCCCCACAAAGTGCTGGAATTACAGGTGTGAGGCACTGCACCTGGCCTGCGTGTTGTTTTAAAGCTGAAAAAATATGTTTTAGAACTAGATGACAGTATCTTGTTTGCTGGTGCATGAGGAAATCTTGGAAAAATGCTAAGCATTTTATGACTCTCCAGTGTTTTCATAATCTGTAATTCTGTTTATAAATCAGTCACTTTCATTGAAAGGTGCTGTTGGTGTTGTGGAGAGTTAGACATTTTGCTGCAGAGATGGTTGACTTTAAAAGATAGCAACATGAAATAGTGCCAGAAATGGGTTGTTATAAAAGTTCTTGTATGCCTTAAATCTGGCTTTTTTTTTTCCAGACACGTATTTCGTCTGTTGTGGTTATTGTTAACAGTTTTGTTTTTGCATTTCACATTAGAGTTTTTTTTTGTTGTTGTTGTTGAGAAAATTGTCATTTGGTTGCTGCTACGTTACTGGTGTTACAGAGTGAATAAATGTAGAAATTACACACAGGATTCAGACCACATTATGGGTTGTGGAGGTGAGAAATAGGACTCACCGCCAAACTTAAGGTCTTTTGGCTGAGCCCATTTGCTGAGAATAGCTGAAGATTTGGTTTTCATCAGGCTAAATGCCAGCCAACTTCAAGTAGTTCCAGGTTTCCAGATCAGATTTTTAGTTTGTTTAACTTTTAGTTTAACTGAGAGGATTGACATACCAGCTTTTGTTTTTATGTATTATTTTTGGGGTTTGCATCTATTTTCTCCTTTGTGAATAATGCATTTGCAGTGTAACTTTGTTATATGAAATGATGCTTATATACTGGTGCAGTGCATTAAAAAGCCTACAGGGAACAATACTTGTAGATTTGTATGTATTGATGTCACAGGTTCCTTGGGGTGTTGCTTTGCCCGAGGAAAACCTTTGTGGGAGGTGGTGCCTTCTGCCTTAGTTTTGCTCAGGCCTGCTGGGTTCATTCCACCCACTTGGCCTGGGAGGCTGTACTTGGCTTGTGCTACTGGCCTGGATCCCATGCCTGCCAAGGGTGAGCCAGGCACAGGGCACTGGGGTGTCTGTGTGAATGTGGGGTGCTGGCTCCGTGTGAGACTGTGGCTAGACCAGATGTACCACATGTGGCTTTTGTTGTGGGCGTCTGCATCTGGACAAGGAGAACGTGGTGGCACCCAGAAGATTGGAGACATGAGGAACTGCAGAAAGCCAAAGAGGGTATCACAGCCCTGGCTTGGGTATCCCACTTTGAAAATCCACAACTCATCTCTCCTCATTGCCTGCAACATGGTAAACAGGGAGGGAGGGGTGTGTTTTAGCCCTGTTTGTGTTACAGATCTTTCAGTCCCACCATTTGGTGGGTCCTGAGTTCTTATCCCACATCCAGGAAGAATGTGGTACGTAGACAGTTGGTAGGGGAGCAAGGTGGAGAGAAGCTTCATTGAACAACAGAACAGCTCTCAGGAGACCTAAAGTGGGTAACTCCTTTCCACAGGCAGGTCATCCTAAAGTCTAGCTGATACTGGCTGAGTCCGGAGTTTTTATGGTCTCAGAAGAGAGGAAGTGTGTGCTCATTGATCCATGGGGTCCATGAATGTACCCAAAGAAAGCACCATAAGCTCTGACTTCTGGCCACAGACTCCACCCCGAACTGGCAGCCTGGTCCCCAGGCTTCAGGCCATCCCTGGCCTGAAGGTGGGATTTCACCAGGAACCCACCCTTTCCTGCCTAGGAACCTATCTGCCTCCCATGTCCATCAACATGCTGTCCATGGTGCCTAGGCTGTCCAAGCTGAGGGGTGCCTGCAAGCCTGCACTGAGCTACCCTTGGCCTTCCAGCCTCCTTCTTGTGCTCATCAGTGCCCAAAGTCTGGAGGGGGTCAAGGTGGCAAAGGCTGAGCATGTCAGTGTTGCCTCAAGTGTGTACACACCCAGCTGGGTCACAACAGCACTCAGGCTTGGCTTCAACTTTGCTCTGAAATTGGAGCAGGTGCTGGGATTGGGGAGAGGCCAGGCAGCATGATCAGGCACTTCTGAGCCTGTGGGGGCAGTGCCTTCCTGGGCCCCTGAGAGTAGTGGTATGCCCGGGTACAACTGTGGCTGGGTGGTTGCAGCTGCACCTAGAAGGGTGGGCCTCTGTGTTCCCAGCTCCTGATGGGAACACTATGGAGTGTGCGGCCTCAGCCAGGCCTGCCCTGCTTCAGCTAGCATTTTCCAAGCAGCTGCTCCAGATGGGCCGCCGCTACCATCACCAACAGGATAACGCATAGCTGAGCATGGTTCATGCTCATCTTTTGCTAAAGTGAAATATTTATGTCTACTTTTCTTTAAAAAAAACCCTGTTACTTCTCTTTATAGTAATACTTCATTGTTCACTGTAAAGAGAAAGTAGAATTTTTAAGTATCTCGTTTCATGCACCTGTCTCCACTCTCCAGAGACCAGTGCATTTAGGTCCCCATAAGACCGTTATAATAAAGTGTAAATAAAGCAAATGCAGAGTATATTTGGGGACATACTTTGTATGCCCCCACAGCCCCACCCTTATAAGAGAAAAGAGATGGCATAATGTATTTTGCGTTTAGCCAGATGCTTTGAGATTTACACAGGTGACTTCATATTGCAAGCAGGTCAGTGGAAAACCACTGAATTGCTTCAGCTGTGAACTAGAATCCTCTCCTGTCTCTGTTGTTGGGTGACAACACTCGTAATTATTCATTTGCTTATTTGCCAGCCAAATCACCATATGTAGTATCTCAAAAGTGTATCTCACAGAATGACCCTAAGCAGGTTGACCTCTGAAGCCTGCACCAGAGTTGACTTTATTTCCTAAGTGATGACTTTATTTCCTGTGCTTGTGAAGGGCAACTGTCTAGGTAGAGTTTCTGGGTGTTTGAGGTGCAAGAGGTACTTAAGGAAATGAATAATAAGGCCAAATGGTAAAAGCCCCAGGGACATGGAATCTCTGAATATGCTAACCTCCAGAGAAACTATGAAAACAAATTAGTTTGCTGGATGTAGTGGCTCACACCTGTAATCCCAGTGAGAGGTGAAGCCAGCTGGGCTTCTGAGTGGGGTGGGGACTTGGAGAACTTTTCTGTCTAGCTAGAGCATTATAAACACACCAGTCAGTACTCTGTGTCTAGCTAAAGGATTGCAAACACACCAATCAGCACTCTGTAAAAACGCACCAATCAGTGCTCTGTGTCTAGTTAAAGGATTGTAAGTGCATCAATCAGCACTCTACAAAATGGACCAATCTGCATTCTGTAAAATGGACCAATCAGCGGGATGTGGGTGGGGCCAAATAGGGGAATAAAACCTGGCCACCGGAGCCAGCAGCAGCAACCTACTCAGGTCCCCTTCCATGCTGTGGCAGCTTTGTTCTTTTGAGCTTCACAATAGAGCTTGCTGCTGCTCACTCTTTGGGTCTGCACCACCTTTAAGAGCTGTAACTCTCACTGTGTAGGTCTGCGGCTTCACTCCTGAAGTCAGCGAGACCACGAACCCACCAGAAGGAAGAAACTCTGGACACATCTGAACATCTGAAGGAACAAACTCTGGACACACCATTTTTAAGAGGTATAATACTCACTGTGAAGGTCCGCGACTTCATTCTTGAAGTGAGTGAGACCAAAACCCACCAGAAGGAATAAATCCCGGACACACCAGCACTTTGGGAGGTCAAGGTGGGCGGATCGCCTGAGGTCGGGACTTCGAGGCCAACTTGACCAACATGGAGAAACCCCATCCCTACTAAAAATACAAATTAGCTGGGTGTGGTGGTGCATGTCTATAATCCCAGCTTCTCCCAGCCTGGGGAGGCTGAGGCAGGAGAATCACTTAAACCTAGGAGGCAGAGGTTGTGGTGAGCTAAGATCACACCATTGCACTCCAGCCTGGGCTACAGGAGTGAAAGTCCATCTCAAAAACAAACACACAAACAAATAAAACTATTTATGGCATTGTTGAATTACTATCTATATAATTTATATCAGTGACAGCAGTAACTTCTCATTAGGAAAATAGGCTTACTAAAATTAGCAGCTTTCATCTTTATACGGAAATCAATTTTAGCTGGAATAATTGTATGCGAAGCTTTATAATTGGAAATTTGAAGTCAGCAAAATTACTTTAGTTACGTTAGTGTACTCAAACAAAATGTAGAATAAGATTAGTTCATGGGAACATTTCATTTTTATCTCAGTCAGCACTGGTCATACCCACCCAGTAGTTAGATAGTTTCTAGTTAAATTTTGTAATTTTTTGAACATCCTGGACATGTTTTACAAAATTAGAAACACTAGTTGCAAAAAGAGGTTGTATGTTTTAATTATTTCCCAGTTCATCTTTAACTGCAATAAAAACACAGGGTAAGTTGTCCTTTTTGAATTTTCTTTTCTTTACGTGTCTGGCAAACAGAGGACCAAGCCTGGGGATCATTAATCTGCTTTTTCTGCGTGATGTTGTAAGGGAAGTTTGGGCTGGATTCATAGTTTGCTGTCTAAAAGTAAATGTTCAGCCTTTTCTAGTTCCCTGTTTTATTTACTTTTCCATTCAATGTCCTATATTTGGACAACAAATAAATTTTTCTGATGGGTTTCTGTTGGCCCGGATGTTCATCCCAGTGGAAATTCTTTCCTTCCACACCACTGGGTTGGGAAGTGTTTGCTGGTATTTGGCTTTCTGTATCTCCTGGAGTTGTCTTAGATACATTGTGTATTCAGGTTGGGCAGTCATTCCCTTTGCAAGCTCTGTGTTACTTTGTTTCATTTGGCTTTGCCGTAAATGTTTGCCCTTGGCTTGCCAAGATGTCAGCTTGTGATGTTTCATTTAACTTAGAATTATTGAGCCTGACCTAAAATTAAATGTTTTCTTAAACATTGTTAATTGAGATATAAGTGACATAGAAGTCACCTCTTTGAGGTGTATCATTCAATGAGTTTTAGTAAATTTACTTGGTTTTGTAGACATCACCATAATCTAGTTTTAGAACATTTTCTTTCTTGTTTTGTTTTGAGACAAGAGTCTCACTCTGTCGCCCAGGCTGGAGAGCAGTGGTGTGATCTTGGCTCATTGCAGCCTCCACTTCCAGGTTCAAGCCATTCTCCTGTCTCAGCCTCCTGAGTAGCTGGGATTATGGGCATATGCCACCACACCCGGCTAATTTTTGTATTTTTAGTCGAGATGGGGTTTCACCGTATTGGCCAGGCTGGTCTTGAACTCCTGATTTCAGGTGGTCTCCCTGCCTCGGCCACCCAAAGTGCTGGTATTACAGGCCTGAGCCACCATGCCAGGCCAGTTTTAGAACATTTTGAATACACAACGAGATCAATTCTGCACAGCTGTCACCCATTTCTGCTCCCATCTCCCAGCCCCAGGCCACCACAAATCTTATTCCTATCTCTATAGACTCACTTTTCTGGACTTTTTTTTTTTCTTTCTCTAAGATGGAGTTTTGCTCTCGTCTTCCAGGTGGAATGCATGGTGAGATTTCAGCTCACTGCAACCTCTGCCTGCTGGGTTCAAGGGATTCTCCTGCCTCAGCCTCCCAAGTAGCTGGGACTACAGGCATGTGCCATTATGCCCGGCTAATTCTGTATTTTTAGTAGAGATGAGATTTCACCATATTGGCCAGGCTAGTCTTGAACTCTTGACCTCAGGTGATCTGCCTGCCTTGGCCTTCCAAAATACTGGGATTACAAGCATGAGCCACCGCTCCTGGCCCTTTTCTGGATATTTTAGTGTTGTGTTTCCAAGAATGAGTATCTCTATGTGCTTGGTGGAACTTCCCAGATGGTGAGACCTGACTTAGTCACTTTGCCTCGCACTCTCCTCACCAGGAAGGGTAGGTGGGGAAAGGGGAAAGAAGGCAAGTATAATAGCCTAATGGGCATTCCACCTCAGTTTTCTCATCTGTAAAATCAGGATAATGATGGACTTTTTGCAGGCTCTAAATGTGAAATCCCATGGGAAGTAATTAGCTGGAAATGTGGCATACTGAGGGAGCTCATTGTTTTTGTGTTAACAGTAGGAAATGCTGCATAAAGAAGGTGGGAAATGAGCTACCTGTAGAAAGATGGCCTAAGTCCCTGGAAAGCTGAGGGCACACACCCCTTATGCTGCCCCTGTCTTTCATCGTGAAAGAACCTGCCTGTGAACCTCATGCTTGGAGGGAAGCTGGATGTTGGCCCAGGATATACCTTTGCTGTGTTGTCCTCAATCCAGGGCAGAAAGCTCCCAATGTACAGGTTGATTATTATAAAGGAAGAAGGTGTGTTCTTGGAATGTAATGGGTAGAGGCCAGCAATGGCCTCCTTCAATACAGAGGATGGTCCCCTCCTCTGCCAACAAAGAGTTATCCAGCTCCAAAAGGTCAGCACTGGGGAGGTTAAGAAATCTGGCCTTAGAAGTTTTGCACCTGCTGATAGCTGTAAATGAGGTACTTACATTCTCCATAATGAAGTTGAAGGAATAAAAATCCCATGGAGCTTATGAAAGAAATACAAGTGTCTTTTAGTCTGCATATATTCCGTGGAAATAGGGAATATTCCATGGAAATAGGGATTTCCCTCTAAAGCAAAAATGATAAGACTTTCAAGCTTGAGTTTTGAAGGAAAAAAAAAAAGACTTTCAAACCTGTTAGAAGCATTCATTTACCAGTGAAAAGTAAAATGTTTTGTAGGCAGAGAAACCATGACCGTCCCTTGGCTTCAATCTGATGGTCATGTTCATCTGTGTCTGTTCCCTGAATAACGAGTGTCCACACCTGCCCCCCTTCTCTACTTAATACTTATTAGTGAGTGCTAACTCTCCTCCTTTCCTGCCTGGCTGGGCCTTTTTCTCCTTCTCCCCTGAAGCTTGCTGCATCTGCTTTCCTCCCTCTCATTAGCTTTGATTTGTGCTCCTAGGTATCTTTTTGCCTGCCCCAAGCTCATTTTCCCCAACCACGCTCCACTCCCAGGTGATAGCTAATTGTATACTTATTTCAAAGAATCCAAGCACTGTAGAGTTCTTTCCTTCCTTATCTAGCAGAATCACCAGTTCTGTCTAGAGGGCAACATTATGGATTTTTCTCTACCACTTTCAACTGTCCATACACAAATATGTAGTCTGCTGTTTTTATCTAAATGGACTGTTATTAGTTTCACTCTGTCTGCTTTCCATATTTTTGTATCTTGATGGAGGTATATTGAAATACAGTAAGCTAGACATTAAGGTAGAGTTTAGCCCATCTTTTCTTTCTTTTTTGGTATATTATTCATAGAGATGGGGTCTCACTCTTGTCCAGGTTGATGTCAAACTCCTGGGCTGAAGCAGTCCTCCCACCTTGGCCTCCCAGGGTGCTGGGATTACTGGTGTAAGCCACCACACCCAATCCTTTTTTTTTCCTTTTTATATCAAGATCTTGCTTTGTTACCAGGCTGGAGCCCAGTGGCACAGTCCTGCAGCCTTTGCCTCAACCCTTGTGATCGAGCGATCCTACCACCTCAGCCTCCCAAGTAGCTGGGACTAAATGCATGCCACTATACTTGGCTAATTTTCTTTTCTTTTCTTTTTCTTTTTTTTTTTGGTAGAGAAGGTTTTTTTCCAAATTGCCCAGGCTGCTGGTCTTGGACTCCTAGACTTAAGGGAGATCCTCCTGCCTCAAGCACCTCCCAAAGTGTTGGGATTATAGGTGTCACATTTTTTCATCCATATGTAGACACAAATATTTGTGAAACCAGCACCACAATCAAAGAATATTTCTGTCACTCTGCAAAGTTTACTTGTGCCTTTTTATAATGTCGCTCCCCATCTCTGTACCCCTTTCCCTAGACAGCCATTGTTGGGTGTTCTGTGACTATAGAATAGTTTGCATTTTCTGCACCTTGACGTTACTGAAATTGTACTCATTATTTTGCCTGGCATCTTTCCCTCAGCATCATGATTTTGGTGCTTCATGTTGTTGCACGTGTCACTAACCCATTCCTCTGTATTACTGGGTAGGATTCCATCCTTTATGCATGCACCTTGGTTTGTTTATTGTTGGATGTTTGGGTTGTTACCTTGTTTTTTATTGTGACAATTGTGAATAATGCTGCTGTAAATGTTTATGTGGCTGTCCAGTGGTTCTCAAACTTCATTATGCATCAGAACCACTTGCAGAACTTGTTAAAACACAGAGTACAGTGCAGTGCCATGGTTCATGCCTTGAATCCTGTCAGTTTGGGAGGTTGAAGGTCGATTGCTCAAGACCATCCTTCACAACATAGGGACACCTCAGCTCTAAAAAATCACTGAGTGTGGTGGTGCATGAGCCTGTAGCCCCAGCTATTTGGAGGCTAAGACAGGAGGCCCTTGAGCCCAGGAGGTTGAGACTACAGTGTGCCATGATTGTGCCACTGCAGTCCTACTGGGGTGACAGAGCGAGATTCTGTCTCAGAACAAAAAATGAAATAAACAGAACACCAACTAAAACACTGAATCCCAATTCCCAATCCCAGTTTGTGATTCAGTGAATGAGGGGCGTGTCTATGACACTGCCTTTCTAAGGAGCTCCCAGTTGACACCCATGGTAATGGTCCAAGGACCGCACCGACTTTGAGGGCTGCTGCCTTAAAGGAAGTCTTATATAAATTGTGGTAGTTTTTCCTTTGCTGGTTGTTCCAGATATTTCTCTCCTACACTGTTCCAAGAATAACTCAGGGTAGGTGGCTTGGGTGCTGATGTGTGTGAAACACAAGCCATGACATTCCTCCAAATAGGTGTCAGCCATCGTTGGGCCAAATTGTACCCTCTCTCTGCTGTGGATGCTGGCAATGGACTTCTGATGGTATGGTCAGGTGATATAGGCTTGTAGTTGTGCCTGGTTACCAGGGCATCTGAGGTGCTGCTCTGCCCCCTGGAACTTTTGGGCCAAGTATAGCTACTTACTGAGCTTGCCTTTCACAGGCAAACAAAATCCATTTTCTTCATCTCTTTGTCCTGTGAAAAACAAGGAGATCCAAGTCAGTGCACCAAAGGAGACAATTTTGCCCTTCAGGCTTCTGATCAAACAAGGCTTGGAGCAGCTAGAATGTTAACCAGAAAATGTGTAATAACCAGTGTGTTTGTTATCATTGTTTTGTTGTTCTTTTATTTCGGGGGAAAGATAATACTTTTGGTTCAGAGAGCAGCTTTAAGTTAGCGTGGACCCTTTTTCGCAAAAGCATTTTCTTGAATTTGATGATAAAGCCCTGCTCTTCCACTTTGCCTTTGAGCTTAATCTGCAGTTACCTCTGGTCACTGCTTCTCATCTTTGCTGTTGACCTCAGTTCTTTCCTTTCAGGTTCTTCACTTATGAGATGTGGTATGGAACGGATTCCAGGAGGATTCCAGGCTCTGTAAGGAGGCTTATCTTTTTAGGATGGTTAAATTTTAGATTTGCAGTGACTTGTAATCATTGGTTAATATCCTAGTTTCTTCTTCTCCTTTTTACTGACAGTTTTACGGAGCATACACTCAACACACTTCCCTAAAGTGTATAATTCAGGAATTTCCTAGTATATTTACAAAGTTGTGTAACAATCACCATCTAATTCTCACACATTTTCATTGCTCCCCAAAGAGACCCTACACCCATTAAGACATTACTGCCACTTCCCCTTCTCCTGTGCTCCCTGGTAACCCTGAATCTACTTTCTGCCTTCATCGGTTTACTCCTCTGGACGTTTCACAGATACTGTGACCTTTTGTACCTGATTGCTTCACTGCAATTATTCCTGAATTTCATACATGTTGTAGAATTTATGAAATTCTACCTTTGTGGCAGACTTTCTGTCAAAACCCTGGGTGGGCTGGGCACTTTGGCTCATGCCTGTAATCCCAGCACTTTGGGAGGCCGAGTCAGGTTTATCACTTGAAGTCAGAAGTTTGACACCAGCCTGGCAAACATGGTGAAACCCTGTTTCTACTAAAAATAGAAAAATTAGCCAGGCATGGTGGCAGACGCCTATAATTTCAGTCTCGGAAGACTGAGGCAGGAGAATCACTTGAATATGGGTTGTGGAGGTTGCAGTGAGCCAAGATCATGCAGTTGTACTCCAGCCCAGGTGACAGAGTGAGACTCCATTTCATAAGAAGACACACAAACCAACCAACCAACCCTGGGTGATTAAGGAAGGCAGGATGATATTCTGAGATAAGGCAGCTGGAGACACAGGCTACCCTTCCCTCCAATTACATTTAAAATGAAAAATCATTCACAAATGGAACATTGTTCACAAAATTGTTTATAGTTCACCTTCCATTCTAGCATGAACTGTAATTTTCTCCCTTCCCATTTTCTTTATCTCCTCCACATTTCTCCCACTTTCCTGTACCTAAAGGTCATTGTAGAAAACAATTTTGGTCAGTTAAAACTGGCCCTGCAGGTCTCTCCTGTGCTGCATCTTTTGGATGGAGTCAGAAGGTCCCTTCTTGGCATGAGAGTTAGGAAGCTTGCATTTCCCAAGGGGCTTGTGTGACATTCCCTCCAGGGCTGAGGTCATGGGATTCCCAGCAGCAAGAGTTAGGCTGTCTTCTGTGGTCTTCCCAAAGCCACAACCCTGAATGACCCACAAACATAATCATAAGGTTGTTTACTTTTTTTGAATTTATCAACCTGTTGTCTCTGTATGACCAAAATTACTGTTCCCAGGTTGGATTGGAGAAGCCAGAGGGTGATTTGTTGAAACCATTTATGGGACACGACTTTCTGTGGCATCTGTACCTTCAACTCAAGGCTTATTGATAATACTGAAGACCGTTTTACTTTCCTGGTTGACGTTATAATTGATCATATTAGTTTCCTGTCACTACTGTGAGAAATTACCACACACTCACTGGCTTTAACACCATTTATTATCTCAAGGTTTGGAAGGCCAGAAGTCTGAAATGAGTCTTGCTCTGCTAAAATCGAGATTTCAGCAGGGCCATGACATTTCTGGAAGCTCTAGGGGAGAATTGGCATCCTTGCTTTTTCTGGCTCCTGGAGGCTGGCGATATTCCTGGGCTTGTGGCCCTTTCTTCCATCTGCAGAGGAGCTGCATAGCACCTCTTCAACTCTCTTTCCATAGGCACATATCACTCAGACTGTAGCTGAGAAGGCTATCCACTTTTATGGGCTCCTGTGATTACATTGGGCCCACCTGGAAGATCCATAATGTAGAGCTTCCTTGGTTCCTTCCAGTGGGTTCTTGGTCTCGCTGACTTCAAGAATGAAGCCATGTACCCTTGAGGTGAGTGTTAAGTTCTTAAAGATGATGTGTCCAGAGTTTGTTCCTTCAGATGTTCAGATGTGTCCAGCACTTCTTCCTTCCGGTGGGTTCGTGGTCTTGCTGACTTCAGGAGTGAAGATGCAGACCTTTGCAGAGAGTGTTACAGCTCTTAAAGCTGGCACGTCCAGAGTTGTTTGTTCCTCCCTGTGGGTTCTTGGTCTCGCTGACCTCAGTAGTGAAGCTGCAGACCTTTGCTGTGAGTGTTACAGCTCATAAAGGTAGTGCAGACCCAAAGAGTGAGCAGCAGCAAGATTTACTGTGAAGGGCAGAAGAACAAAGCTGCCACAGCATGGAAGGGGACCCAAGTGGGTTGCCACTGCTGGCTCTGGTGGCCAGCTTTTATTCCCTGCCAACGTCCCGCTGATTGGTGCATTTTACAGAGTGCTGATTGGTCCGTTTTGCAGAATGCTGATTGGTGTGTTTTTACAGAGTGCTGATTGGTGCATTTACAAACCTTTAGCTAGACACAGAGCGCTGATTGGTGTGTTTTTACAGAGTGCTGATTGGTGTGTTTACAAACCTTTAGCTAGACACAGAGCGCTGATTGGTGCATTTTTACAGAGTGCTGATTGGTGTGTTTACAAACCTTTAGCTAGGCCCAGAGCGCTGATTGGGGCGTTTACAATCCTCTAGCTAGATAAACAAGTTCTGCAAGTCCCCACCCTACCCAGAAGCCCAGCTGGCGTCACCACTCAATAATAACTCCCACATCTAAAGATCCTTAATGTAATCACACCTGTGAAGTCCCTTTTTCCATATAAGGAAATACATTTACATATCCCAGGGTTTGGGACATGGGGATCTTTGGGGGGCCATAATTCTGCCTATTACTTTGTCAGTCTTCAAGGAGAGACTTACTTCCTTTGCCTGCAAGATTTATAGGTTATTTAACATTTGTTTTTTTTGTCTCTTTTTTTTTTTTCCTTTTTTTTTTTTTTAAGAGGGAGTTTAGGCCTTGTTGCCCAGGTTGGAATTAGTGGCATGCAATCTCGGCTCACTGTAACCTCCACCTCCTGGGTTCAAGGGATTCTCTTGCCTCAGCCTCCCAAGTAGCTGGGATTATAGGTGTGTACCACCACACCCATCTAATTTTTTGTGTTTTTAGTAGAAATGGGATTTCTCCACATTGGTCAGTCTGATCTTGAACTCCCAGCCGCTTCAGGTGATCTGCCTGCCTCGGCCTCCTGTGTTTTTTTGTCTCTTAATTCAGAAATCTGGCTGGGCGCGGCAGCTCACACCTGTAATCCCAGCACTTTGGAAGGCTAAGGCGGGCAGATCACCAGGTCAGGAAATCGAGACCATCCTGGCTAACATGGTGAAGCCCCATCTCTACTAAAAATACAAAAAAAAAAAAAAAAAAAAAAGGCGGGCGTGGTGACCCGTGCCTGTAGGCCCACCTATTCATGAGGCCGAGGCAAGAGAATGGCATGAACCGGGAAGGCGGAGCTTGCAGTAAGCGGAGATCGCACCACTGCCCTCCAGCTGGAGGACAGACTCCCTTTCAAAAAAAAAAAAATTCATAATAATAGTTCAAAAATCCAGTACTGTTGAACCATTTGGTTTGTATGCCTGCTCACTCACTGGGTCTTCATTGATTGATTGATTGATTGATAGAGACACACTTTGGTAGAGTCTCACTTTGTTTTCCAGGCTGGTCTTGAACTCTATGGCTCAAATGATCCTCCCTGCTTGGCCTCCCAAAGCCTCCCAAAGTGCTGGGATTACAGGCATGCACCACCATGCCTGCTCTCTGAGTCTTGACTTACCTCTGAGTGAGCCAAGGTTTGCTTTCCATTTTGGAAAGCTCCGAGATTGCTGAGCAGCTCAGAGACACACTTGTGGGTCTAGGTCCTCATTCCTTTTCAAGTACCTCCTGGTCTGGGTCCTGCCACCCTTGGTTTGGGACTTTATTTGGGACTCTGCCAGAGCCACTTTTCTGGACTTGGAGTCTCAGAGTCTGTGTCACCTGTGTCAGCTGTGGATAAGGAATGAGACCACCATGATGCAAGGAGAGGTGGCTCATGGGGCCTGGCTCCCAGGACTTTTCCTGATGCATGTTTGCATTTCTGGGGCCGGAATCAAGAGCCTCTGGGCTTGTGGCTTCACAGAATGGTGGAAGAAGACTGGTGGAGTTAGAGACAGAAGACTCAACCATGATAATCAGCTTGTTAATCAGCATTTTGGTTCAAAAATAATTTGGGAGTGTATTGATCAGGTTTCTGCCAGGCTAATGTTGCACAACAAATGGCCTCCAAATTCAGAGGCTTAAATTATTTCTTTCTTGCTCACTACTCGGTGTTAAGCTGTGTCTCTCATGGGCTCATTTGGGAATAGGAAGGCCTGGTCAGGTTCTGGGCTAGGTTTAAGGTTTAAGGTTTATGTCCTCATTCTGGGATCAGGGGATCCTGGGGCATATTTTTGTTTGTGCTTCTCCTGTCAGGTATAGGAAGCCAAGATAAATCATGCAGGCAAATTTAAAGCTTCTGTCGGCTGGTTGCAGTGGCTCAGCATGTAATCCCAGCACTTTGGGAGGCACAGGTGGGCAGATCACCTGAGGTCAGGAGTTCAAGACCAGCCTGACAAACATGGAGAAACCCCGTCTCTACTAAAACTGCAAAAAGTAGCCGGGTGTGGTGGCAGACACCTGTAGTCCCAGCTATTCTGGAGACTGAGGCAGGAGAATAGCTTGAATCCAGGAGGCTGAGGTTTCAATGAGCGAGATTGCGCCACTGCATTCCATTTGGGGCAACAGGAGGGAAACTCCATTTCAAAAAAACAAAACAAAACAAAACAGCAGTGGTAGCTCAGGTGATTTTTCATGCTAACCTACTTTAAAAGCTGCCAGAACAATTGTGGAGTGGGAAGTCTCTCATTTCTCCAGTCCTACTCTGACAAGATCTAAGAATAACTTTGAGGAGGTGGACATGTGGCCCTTTGATCTCCTTGTCTGGAGTATTTCTTGGTAGGAGCAGAGCTTATGGGAAGATGGTCTTCAGTGAGTGTTGACATTGTGGGTTGGGCAGTTGGTGTTGTGGGTGGGGCTGATTATCGTAATCTTCCTTCACCATTGAGGGATTTAATCTTCCCTGGTTTCCATTACTTGATGCTCTAAATACTTTTCTCTCCTTGGCATGGTGGCTCATGCTGTAGTCCCAGCACTTTGGGAGGCTGAGGCTGGTGGATCACCTGAGATCAGTAGTTCGAGAGTAATCTGACCAACATGGTGAAATCCCTTCTCTACTAAAAATAAAAAATTAGCCTGGCGTGGTGGTGTGCGCCTGTAATCTCAGCTACTTGGGAGGCAGAGGCAGGAGAATCGCTGGAACCCGGGAGTTGGGGGCTGTGGTGAGCCAAGATAGTGCCATCGCATTCCATCCTTGGTGCAGAGCAAGACATAGTGTTAAAAAATAATCATAAATTAAGTAAATAAATAAATAATCCTCGCAGCCTGCCTTCCTTTTAGGTAACCATAAACTGGAATATGTGCATGGAAGAGTTAAAGGAGGCAAATCACACTTGGAGTCAAGAACCTTGATGCTGGATTTAGCAGCTATTTACCAACCACCTCCTCTTCCAGAATAAGTAGCAGAACTTTGACCCCCGGGGGACTGTGGTGTACTTGGAAGACACAAGGCAAAGGTGTAAAAAGGGAGCTCTGGACATAGGAATTGAAATGAGGCTAATAGCTGGTGAGATGGCCTGGGACTAGAGGCCAGGGAGACTGGAAGAGGAGGAGTTCCTTGACAGGGTGTGCTCCTAAGAGATCCTGAAGAGTGAGCAGAGATTGACAAGAGAGGCAAGAGGAGACCTAGAGTTATCAGGGCTGCAGAGGTGTCCTTGCAACGTAGAGGCCTTAGTGTTCATGTTGGCTTCCAGGGTAGGGGCGGTGCATTTGCGGCTGGCTGAAGATGGCATAAATGGGATAGTGGATAAAAAGATGAGGGTATTGTCAACGCACGTCTCCTTGGAGAGGTTCTCCTTGCAGATAAGGGGAGAAATGGAACAGCACTTGATAGGAAAGCAGGTGTTGGGGAAAGACTTTTTATACTAGGGGAGACTGGTTGAGTAAAATAGCTTTGAGAGGACCAGGGGCAGTGGCTCATGTCTGTAATCTCAGTGCTTTGGAACGCTGAGGTTGGTAGGATTGCTTGAGTCCAGTAGGTCAAAGCTGCAGTGAGCTATAATCATTCACTGCTCTCCACCCTGGACAACAGAATGAGACACTGTCTCTTGGGCAGGAGAGGGAAAGAGATTCAAGAGATAAGATAAAGAATGGAAGCACAGGACATAATTTTTGCAGGAGGGAGATTTTTGAGGGTTTAGCCTTGGAAAAGGAGAGTAGAGACAGATGGGAAGGTCATAAATGTGAAACATTTGGAAGCAGAAGATGATTTATCTTAAAGTTTTGCCTAGAGATGACTAATGTGAAGGTCTTGGTGTTCTAAGGGAGAAAGGAAAGACAGAGATGGTGGGTCTACTGGATACAGGAAGCAACCCAGGCTTTCAGATTTTATAGCTGGGGAGCAGAGTACATGCTTGGGGATGGGGAGGCTGCTGGCCAGGACTGACTTCCTCCTGCCATGACCCCTACCTAGAATTAGAGCAGCCTCATTTAGTGTACTTGATTCAAGGCCTTTTGTTTAAGAGCTTATTTGCACTCATTACAGTCATTGCTTAATATCTTTGGGGGATTGGTTCCAGGACCTCTTGCGGATACCCAAATGCATGCACACTCAAATCCTGCAGTGTACCCTGCAAAACCTGGTGATAGGAAAAGTCAGCACTCTGTATCTGGGGTTTTGCATCCCAAGGATACTGTATTTTCCTTCCGAATTTGATTGTGAATGGAGAACTGAGCCATAAGGATACCAATGGTATTTATTGAAAGAAAAGTCATGCTGTTTGATTGCTGTTTGAACCACAAAAACCAAGCAACCAACCAAAGCCCCCAAAACTAAAGCTTTAAAAACCAATATCTGGAGAATAAACCAAAACCAACTAAAGCATGAAGATGGTCTAACTCAGAATGCCCAGTAGAACTTTCTACCATATGGAAATATTTTGTATCTGTGTAGCCTCATTGCCACAGCTGGCTAAGGGCACAATGGGCCAAGTCATCCTTACTAGGCAGTGTCAGCCACACTGGGCCATGTCAGCCACACCAGACCACACTGGGCCACGTCACCCACAGTGGGCCATTCTAGGCTATGCCACTCACATTGAGTTGTGTCACTCACCCTGCACCATGCTGGGCCACATCACTCACACTTGACAGGGTCCTGTCTTTTTCCACT